>NC_000017.11:3521414-3672929 GCF_000001405.40 Homo sapiens
CAGCCATTATTCAGAACTAAATCAATGAATAAGATGAATAAGTTCTGGGGATCTAATGGACAGCATGATGACTATAGTGAACAATACCGTGTTGTGTACTAGAAATTTGCTAAGAGAATAGATCATAAATGTTCTCACCACACACAAAGAAATGGCAACTATGTGAGGTGATGGGTGTGTTAATTGGAAATTGGAAATCATTTCACAATATATACCTATATCAAATCCTCACATTGTACATCTTAAATTTATACAATTATATATGTCAGCTGTACCTCAATAAAGCTGGGGGTAAAGAAATTATTATTTGTATTGCCAAAAAATTAAACCATATAAACTTACAATTAAATAAAATAAGTTATATTTAAAACAAAGACAGGCCAGGGTGCAGTGACTCACGCCTGTAATCCCAACACTTTGAGAGGCTGAGGTGGGTGGATCGCCTGAGGTCAGGAGTTGGAGGCCAGCTTGGCCAACATGGCGAAACCCCGTCTCTACTAAAAATACAAAAATTAGCTGGGTGTGGTGGCACACACCTGTGATCCCAGCTACTCCAGAGGCTGAGGCGGGAGAATTGCTTGAACCCAGGAGGAAGGGGTTGCAGTGAGCCTAGATCGCACCACTGCACTCCAGCCTGGGGGGCAGAGCCAGACTCTGTCTCAAAAAATTAATTAATTAATTAATTTAATTAAATAAAACAAAGACAATAAATGTTCAAAACTCATCCCCGTCCAGTTATTTCACTATATTTACAATTGTGTGTGCTTTTGAGGTTACTTGTCTCTATCATAGCCATATGGCAGGAATTCTAGAGCGATGTGGATCTGCATGTTTCTCCCTAACTCTATGTCCAGTAACATAATGTTGGTAGCTGGAAATTGGCCCTGAGAGGAGAACAGTAGTCCGCCCTTCTCTTCGATTTCACTTTCTGCAGTTTTGGTTGCCTGTGGTCAACTATGACCCAGAAATATTACACACAATACAATATTCTGAGAGAGACAACATTCACATACTTTTATTACAGTATATTGTTATCATTGTTCTGTTAGTTATTGCCATTAATCTCACTATGCCTAATTGATAAAATAAATTTTATAAATTCCACATAGCCAGTTGAGTCTTAGAATAATTTGTTGATTCCCCCCCCCACCCCCCAGCACTTTGGGAGGCCGAGGCGGACGGATCACCTGAGGTCAAGAGTTGGAGACCAGCCTGGCCAACATGGCGAAACCCCATCTCTACTAAAAATACAAAAATTAGCTGGGCATGGTGCATGCCTGTAGTCCCAGCTACTCAGGAGGCTGGGGCGGGAGAATTGCTTGAGCCCGGGAGGCAGAGGTTGCAGTGAGCCGAGATTGCACTATTGCACTCCAGCCTGGGCAACAGAGCGAGACTCAGTCACAAACAAAAAAAAAAAAAAAAAGCAAAAATTATTCTAAGACTCAACTGGCTAAGTGGAATTTACAATAAACTGTATTGTATAGTATATTTTCATTATTTGCATAGATGTATATGTATAGGAAAAAACATAGCATATTATATAATGTTTGGTACTATCTGCAGTTTCAGGCATTCATGGGGGGTCTTAGAACATCTCCCCCAAGAATAAGGGGGGACTACTGTATTTACATCATGAAAATTGGTAAATGCCACAAATCAGAGATTGATTGACTCATTGTTTTGTTGATATCTAGATCTAAATGATTTAAGACAGTGATGGAGAAACTATTAATCCAGTTTAAATTTTAAAATGTGTTCTGTCTGCAGCCTTTACATTATGTATAGCACAAAAATATCAACAGAATATTATTCTGGTATTTGCAAACTAGTATCCAATTCAGCAAAGAAGTTGCTCACATCATTGATAAACAAGTAAAGTTCAACATAAATCTTAATTGTTTCACTTCAATCACTGCTTATAAAGAAAACTCTCAACCAACATTCATGTCTGATAGCACTCTTTTGTCAATTGCAACCAAAAGTTGACAACAAAAACTAGAATTCAATAAAAAGCAACAAATAGGCCTGGCGCGGTGGTTCATGCCTGTAATCCCAGCACTTTGGGAGGCCGAGGCAGGTGGATCACCTGAGGTCAGGAGTTCAAGACAATCCTGGCCAACATGCTGAAACCCTGTCTCTACTAAAAATACAAAAATTAGCCAACATGGTGGTGCGTGCCTGTGATCCCAGCTACTCTGGAGGCTGAGGCAGGAGAACTGCTTGAACCCAGGAGGCAGAGGTTGCAGGGAGCCGAGATCGCACCACTTTACTCTGGCCTGGGCAGCAGAGCAAGACTTGGTCTCCAAAAAAAAAAAAAAAAAGCAACAAATTATTCTGAGACTCAACTGGCTATGTGGAATTTACAATAAACTGCATGGTATATTTTCATTATTTGCAAATTGTGTGATACACATCGTTTATATAGTAAAATGTATGATAAGTCTTTTGTGTATATATATGGAATATACATATTCCACCTACACACACACACATACACACACACACACACAGAACAGTCGTTAAATGTTTACCAGCACGCCACTGCCCAGGGGTGAGAACATTCCTCCACAAACTGTACCCCTCCCCAGCACCCCACAAGCCTGGGGGATTTAAGGTCTTGACACTTAAAGCCTGGCCGAAAGCAAAGGGAGTGCATGGCATTTGGGAGAAAGAGCAGTGACCTGCCCCTTGGTAAACCCCTCTTCCTCTCCAGATCTCAGTTTCCCCATCTGAAAAATGGCCATCCTCCGAGGGCCCTCCCGCCGGCGCAGCTCTCAACGCACCTTCTGGATCATGACGCTGTACATGCCCATGGACTGGAAACCCCGCGTATAGTAGAGCATGTTCGCCCAGCCCAGGGCCATGGCCAGCACGAGGCAGGCGAGGTACTCTTTGTAGGCAAACAAGTACAAGAAGACAGACAGTATCACAAGCACAGCTTGGATAAAACTGTTCAGGAGACACAGGAGACACGGGCCTTACTTACTTCTCAGCATCAGGGCAAAGATATGCAAATCCCCCAAACCTCCCTTAAACCCCCTGAACAGTCACCCCGGTGACGGATGCTGAAGAGACCAGAATCACGCTGCCTCAGATCCATTTGGCTACCATAGAATTCAGCCTGTAGAGACATCACCAGATGCCACTCACAGCCTGTGGTAAGCTGATTGCAGCTGGTGGGGACTTTAAAAAAAGAAAAAACACACATCCACAGGGCCGCAGAAGATTCTAGGGTACTGCCCGGGAGGCCATATATTTTTTAAATTACCCACACGGGCCTGGTGTAGTGGCTTTCGCCTGTAATCCCAACACTTTGGGGGGCTGAGATAGGAGAAACGCTTCAGGCCAGGAGTTCAGGACCAGCCTGAGTGACATAGTGAGACCTTGTCTCTACAAAAAAAAAAAAAAAAAGAAAAGAAAAATAATCTAAATCACCCACATAATTTCTGACTCCTGCATCGATTTGAGAACTACTGGAGTAGACCAAAGATGTGGTAAATGATTGTATTTTTAACCAAAATGACAAAAACTGCCAATATCTATACTTAAAAGCCAATCATAGCAAAAGTCCCCCAAACCCTACTTTTTAAATCGTGGTGTTTTTTGGGGGGGTCAGGGGGGCAGAGACAGGGTCTTGCTCTGTCACCTAGGCTGGAGTACAGTGGCATGAACTCTGCTCACTGCAACCTCCGCCTCCCAGGCTCAAGTGATTCTCCTGCCTCAGCCTCCCTAGTAGCTGGGATTACAGGCACCCGCCACCACACCAGGCTCATTTTTGTATTTTTAGTAGAGATGGGGTTTCACCATGTTGGCCAGGCTGGTCTCGAACTTCTGACCTCAGGTGATCCACCCACCTCGGCCTCCCAAAGTGCTGGGATTACAGGCGTGAGCCAACGCGCCCAGCATTAAATCTTTTTAAAGTATGATGTATGCTAAGTGAAATAAGATAGGTGACTCCACTATATGACTGTACCTAAAATAGTCCAATTCACAGAGAAAGATGGAAGAATGGTGGTTACAGGGGGCCGGGAAAGGAGAGGAATAGGGGCTGTTGTTTAAGGGGTATGGAGTTTGAGTTTTACAGGACGAAAACAGTTCTAAAGACTGATTGCCCAACAACATGAATGTACTTCACAGTATTGATTTCTACGCTTAAAAAATGGGTGCAATGCTAACTTTTATGCTATGTGTATTTTACCACAATTAATTTTTTTTTTTTTTTTGAGATGTAGTCTCACTCTGTCGCCCAGGCTGGAGTACAGTGGCATGATCTCGGCTCACTGCAGCCTCCGCCTCCCTGGTTCAAGCAATTCTCCTGCCTCAGCCTCCAGAGTAGCTGGGATTACAGGTGCATGCCACCACACACAAGGCTAATTTTTGTATTTTTTGTAGAGAGAGGGGATTTCACCAGACTGGTCTCAAACTCCTGACCTCAGATGATAGGCCCACCTTGGCCCACCAAAGTGCTGGGATTACAAGCATGACCCATCGTGCCCGGCCCACAGTTAAAATGTTTTTAAGTATAATATATCGCAAACATACAAAATCAATATCTACTCCTACACAGTCACATGCAGACATCTGCATAACATCCATTATGCAGACATCTGGATAAAAACACTGTCTTATAACATCAGACAGTTTCCAAAATTATAAAATAGCTAACCAAAGTCACAACACAGGCACGATTGTAAGAAAAACCATCTAATTCATCAACTGCATTTTAGACTGAAATGAAGAATGTCTCCCTCCACACTAACAAAACAAATAAGAAGCAGAAGAGGCCGGCGCAGGAGCTCACACCTGGAATCCCAGCACTCTGCAAGGCTGAGGTGGGCAGATCACTTGAGGTCAGGAGTTCAAGACCAGCCTGACCAACATGGCGAAACCCTGTCTCTACTAAAAATACAAAAAGGAGCCAGGTGTGATGGTGCACGTCTGTAATCCCAGCTACTCAGGAGGCTGAGGCAGGAGAATCGCTTGAACCTGGGAGGTGGAGGTTGCAGTGAGCCGAGGTCACGCCACTGCACTCCAGCCTGGGCAACAAGAGTAAAACTCCACCTCAACTAAAAAAAAAAAACAACAACGTAAACAGGACTGCTAAGCCTGTTGCCGCCTTCTCCACTCCATGCTGCCTTCCACGTGGGGCTCTGTGATGGGTAGAGTTGGCCATCACCACCATCTCAGCCTCCCAGAGTGCTGGAATTACAGGCGTGAGCCACTGGGCCCCACAGCCCTGAAGTTTTCTGACCTTCTCCATGGGCATTTACGTGTCTCCTACTAGGAGGAAGAGAGGAGACCCCTGGCGTGTAACCATGGCAGAGTGACTGGGACACCGTGGCACAGTAGGATATTTGTTCAAGAGGCGGACACGGCAGCCACCATACAGGACGTCAACCCTGCCTGTGAGGCGATAACCAAGGGGCCAGACCTACTTACAAGACAAAGTGGAACCAGGCATCCGAGAGGATGGACTGCAGATCCGAGGGTCTCAGCAGGAAGATGGCAATGCCCTAAGGCCAGGAAGGAAAGAAACAGTGCACCCTCTTCATGGCCCTCAGCAGGGGAGCTGAGCAGAGGGTGCTTCCCCAGGACCAAGACTCAGTGAGGGTTGAATGCACAAAGGCCCAGCTAGAGTCCAGGTGGCGGATCTGAAAGGGGACCTGTGCCTGGGGGGCGTAGGCACCTCCACGGTGAAGGTGAACGCTCCCTCAAATCTTCTCACCTCCCTCACTCCTTACCCCATCCTCACCCCAGAACCTGCAAAGCGGTACTACCACTACAGCCGCCTTCCATTCCCCACATCCAGCCTAGCGTTCCAGCCTCCGAGCCTTTGCTCATGCTGTTCCCCATATCCACCCTGTAATGACCTTGTCCTCATCGTCCTCGTGCCCAATCCTACCCCACCAGAGTAAGTGCCATCTCTGCCTTCAAGCATCTCTACCATTCCCTGTCCCCAGATAAAAGTCACCTCCCTTCCTCTGAACACTGATCTGAACCCAGCTTAGGGTCTTTTTCGGTCTATCATAAAGTCTTGATATTTATGCCTATGCTATGTCCCCAACCAGGCTGTGAATTCAAAGAGGGCAAACTCGTCCCAACCCTGTCACCTCCTCCAGGGCCACACATATATAGAAGGTGCTCAGATTATATGTGTTGATTCATTGGATGGATGGAAGGATGGATGGATGGATGGATGGATGGACGGATGGACAGATGGAGAGATGGAAAGATGGTTGGATAAAGGATAGAAGGATGGTCGGTAAGGATGAGTGGACATGTGAATGGATGAATGAGTGGCTGGGTCCATGAAAGAGGGCAGGTGATCGGATGGGTGGATGGGGGTGGAAGAGGACAAGGGACACTGAGTGGCTGGGAAGGTAGATAAATGGCGGATAGTTGGGCAGATGGATAGAGAAGTAGATGGATGAAGTAGGTAGGATAGGCCAGCCTTATCCATTTTTTCCCATGTTATAACTCAGAAAGGTAAGGCTTGGGAAGGAAACGCCTCCCCAGAACCCCCCAGCAGTAATGGCAGAGCAGAGAGGGATGGAGGCTGTCACCTGCCTGCCTCGCGGGGCGGTCTGGAAGGGCCGGGTGGCCCACTTACCTCTTTCACAGAGATGCACATGGCCCAGATGAGCACAAACATCCTCCCTAGGAGCTGCAGCCACCCCATCTTGTGCGTCAGGGCCAAGGGGTGCGGGATGGCCTGCAGGGAAAGAAGAGGGGTGGTCAGTATAGGAAGCAAGGAGGACAGGGCTGGCACCAACTCTAGAGGGACCAAAACCCAGGTGAAACACTCAAGCCGGGCCAGAGACCAGCATGAAACCTGATCTCTGTACAGGGCAAGAGAAGGAAGAGCAGCTCCCTGACCCCAACTCTCCTCACCCTTGATGGAAACCCAGAACTCTACAACGAAGAATATCATCCAATCCGTGCTAACAACCCTCACACTCCATTGCAATAGCCTTTCCGGAACCCATCCATATCCAGGCACTCAACATGGCCTCACAGCACCGTTAAATAAAGCCGAGGCTCTGTGCCCCACGTGACGCATGGGAAACCGAAGCCCAGCAGGCAGGGAGAGCTTATCCTCCTCCCGTTTCCTGCAGCCCTCACAGCAGAAACACCCAGCTAGTTCTATATTTACAGACAGAGACCCTGTGCAGGGCCTGAGTCTCCGAATTCTCCAACTTTCCTCCCAGCAAGGGTCTGCCCTTGGGACTCGGCACCTGGGGCTTAGCCCAGGCTAAGCACTGAAGACATATTCAGTTCCCTGGGAAGCGTGAAGGACAACTGGGGGACCCCGCCCAATCTCCTGGTCTCTCTGGGCCTCAGTTTTCCCACCTGCACGTGGGGCAGCTCCAAGCCCCTCCAGCTCTGACGGCCCCATTTTCCCCCTCCAAGGGGCCCACGTACCTCCTCCTCCCGGGGGCGGTAGTACGAGACGAGGGTCAGGGTGATGTTGTAGAAGAAATAAAAGCAGAAGGACAGAAAGAACATGTGCTTGGCAAACTTCTTCCACTTCATATGCAGCAGCGTGTGCAGCGGCTCCAGGGTCAGCATCTCATGCCGGTTCTAGGGGTAGAATGCCACCAGTCACCATGGAGATGAGGGAGAGAGGGAGGGACCGTTTTCTAAAGGCCTGCGGGAGCTCTGAGTCAGTGCTGCAGAAGGGGCCCATCATTATGCCCGATGGACTGGTCTGGTTGGAAATGCTGGGAGGGTGATTTCCGGCTCCTGAGGCTCCTCCCCAGGGTACTAGGGCAGCAGTCAGAGGCCGCAGGAGCCCGGGCTTGCAGCAGGAGGACCCGATGCACAGCAGAAAGTGGAGGATAGAAGCGGGCAGGAGGTGGTGGCAGGGGTTCCAGCCCCAGTTTGCTCCTCCTTTGCTGTGTGACTTTAGGACAGACCCTGACCCTCTCTGGGCCTCAGACTCCTCACCTATAAAACTGCTAACAATCCCTGCCCTACCAACCAGGCTGCTGTGAGGGTCTGGGAAGACCCAAGGCAAGGGGACTCTGGGAAGCATGACTCTTAGTAAAGTATGAAGGAGGAAGACCCAGCCTGCTGCCTCACTGCCCCCAAGAGCTGAACACCTCTCATAGCTGCTCCTCTCTTCACCTCCAGTTGCACCGAACTCTCCCCTCTAGCCTCCTCCAGGAAGGCCCCCCGATTGCTCCTCAGTGCACTCTCTGACCCTCATTTGGGACCAGGTTTTGGGGAAGAAAGAATTCTAAGCCTGGCCGTATACACCAACGGGGGGTGGGAGAGAAACAATATGGAAAGGATCAACCCCAATCACCCCATCACCCACACCCACACCCAAACAGCCCTGGATACTCGGTCCAGAAGACCTCCCGCCCACCGCCCCCGCCACCACCACTCAGGTCTACAGTCCAAGGTCAATCAGGAAGAGTCGGGCCCAGCATCTGTCCCAGGCCTCGCCTTTTCTGTGCCTGACTCTGCTCACTGAGGCAACAGAGTGGGGTATGCAGATGCCGAGGGATGGAGCTGGCAGCACTGGGTCTTCCCAGCGTCCTCTCAGCCCCTGGCCTGAGGTCCAGCCCTCTTCTCCCTGCCCTTCCCCGCCTGTGCAGGAGACCCACGTCGATGTTGGTGTTGTAGACAGTGATTTCCAGCACTGAGTTGTCCGTGGTGGTGTCCACGTTGGTGAGGTCGTAGAGGGAGGATGACACGGGTCCGTACGCCCAGTCGGTGAACTTCCTGGACAGGCTCCGGAGCCGCTTCTCCTTGATCTCACGACTGAGGATGTACTTCAGGATCTGGGACAGGAGGAGGAACAACCATCAGCTGCAGAACAGGGGCTTAAGGCCAACAGGGCTGGACCAGCCAGAGGCTGGCTGGGCCCAGGGGATACACCCGCCCAGAATGGGTGGAGACCTGCCTCTGCGCCTGGCGCCATGGCCCCTGGGCCCCGTCTTTATCTGTGGAATGCGCACAAAGCTTGCTGTTCCGCCCATCTCACTGGGGGTTGTGAATACCAGGGACAAAGGGTGTGAAGGTTCTTCGCAGGCTGCAGCAAGCTGCACAATCAGCTTGAAATGCCTCACGCCAGCTGGGGACCCGGTTCGGTGAAAAATCCAGGCACTGATGATTTTTTAGAAACAGTTTCCATTTGCTCTGGACTTGAGAAGAAGCCAGAAGTGTTCTCAGCGTCCCCAGCCCACCCTAAGCCAAGACTCCTCCAGCTGTGGCTCACCACTCTGGCCAGGCAGGTGGTGACGAGAGACACCACGCCCTACAGGGAGGCCCGTGGGACTTCGGTAGGCCAGTGATCCTCAAACTCTGCTGCATGTTAGGGCTGCTGGGAAACTTAGAAATTCCCACAGCATGGCCAGGTGCAGTAGCTCACGCCTGTAATCCCAGCACTTTGGGAGGCCGAGGCGGGTGGATCATTTGAGGTCAGGAGTTCGAGACCAGCCTGGCCAACATGGTGGAATCCTGTCTCTACTAAAAATACAAAAATTAGCTGGGTGTGGTGGCAGGCGCCTGTAACCCCAGCTACTCAGGAGGCTGAGGCAGGAGAGTCGCTTGAACCTGGGAGGTGGAGGTTGCCGTGAGCCATGATTGCGCCACTGCACTCCAGCCTGGGCAATGAAGTGAGACTCTAGTCTCAAAAAAAACAAAACAAAACAAACAAACAAAAAAACCAAAAATTCCCACAGCATCAACTGATGAAATCGAAATATCCAGGGTGGGACCCAGGAGTCTGTATTTGTGAAGCTTCCTGGTTGGCTCCAAAGTGCAGGCTGGACACAGAGCTGCTGTCTCTGGCTTCCTACTTCCAAAAAGCTGAGCCCTGGGTTACCCCAGGATGAGACATGGACTTCCTAGGACACCAACTCAAGACCCAAGAGGAAGGGACTGTTGGGAAGGACAGTGTCAGAGACCTGGCCTCACAAGACCCACTGGGTTCCCATCCCATCTGTCATGAGAGCCCAGGCAGAGAGCTTCTAGGGATAAGGCCAGGTCTCTCCGCCCCGCACCCCAGCCTATAAAAGCCCCAGGACGGTGGCCAAGCTGGGCAGCATCCAGAAAAGTTTTCTGGAGGACACGGAACAGAGGAGGGAAGCGGGAGACAGGTGCCTCCCCCGGGCCGGCCACAGCGGGCACACTGTCCCCTAGAAAACAAGGGGGTCCTGGGACCATGCTCCATGCAGGAAGCCTCCTCCCTGGGCTGGGGTGGCAGGGACAGCACCCGCCACAGTGGCACACAGGGAAGACGGCCTTGGAGAAGGCTCCTTCTGCAACCACAAGCTGACTCTTCAAAGCCCCAGCAAGCTGTGACCCTGAGGGTAGGCAGGAGCTGCGGGGAGGCAGACACACAATTCCTCCTCTGTTGAAGCCGTTCTCCATCTCCTCCTCCCCCACGGGAGAATCAAAAGGCCCCTTGTGGGTCCCAGCCCTGACCACTTGGGACAGGACCAAGGCCCTCGGGGCAGCTGACCAGGGAGGCGGGTACCCTGAGGCTGGCACAGCTGCGATTACTCAACAGTCACCACCCCCCAGTGTCCTCTGATGGCGTCCCAGGAGCCACAGCCTCCTCGCAGAGCGTAGAGACAGTGAGGCTGAGGAACACGCTTGGACCCCAGAATCAGTCCCCTGAGAAGAACATCTCAGACCAAGCCATGACACCGGCCCCTGAAAGAGATCTGAGCCCAGCCCTGCTCAAGTCTTCACCAAGGCTCCCAGCCAAGCCTCGATTTCTCAGCCACATCACACAAGGCAAGAAGGGCCCAAAGCGGCCACACTCTTGGCTGGGGACCTGGCACAGAGTTCCAACCGCACAAACAGGCTGGGGTCTCCCCATAATTGGGAAATGGCAGCATATTAGCGCTGCGCCCGCAGCAGCCATTCTGGAACTCCCGTCCTCGTGAGAGGCAGAAGGCCCCAAGGGCCACCCACTGCTGGGGCTATTGTGTCACCTCAGCCTCAGGCTCCCCCAGCCTAGCCCTCCCAGGACAAGAGATGGAAACGCGGCGTATTAGGGACTGAAGTCTAGAGAGTGGGCTGCATCGCACCAGCTCCGCGTGGCCCCTCAGAACAAACCTGCCTCCGGCCGCCACGCCACTGCAGTTCTGGACCCAAGGCTGGGACCTTCTCAAGGCTGAGGCTGTGGTTTGTGAATCCCCAGTAAGGCCCCCGGGGCTGAGAGGGTGGCAGCTGTACCTCCTGACCTCCCGACCTCCTGCCTCCCCACGCCCCATGGCCCCACCTCCGCCTTGCCCATCTTGGCGGCCAGCTGCAGCGGCGTGAGGCCATCGTTGTTGCGAGTGGTCTCCAGCTCCCAGTTGCCACTCCGCAGTAGGATCATGTCGTACATGCGCTTCACAAAGTCATTCTGCGTCTTGAAGTCCTCGGCCACGGTCACCAGGGCGTGAAGGATGTTGTTGCCTCGTGAGTCCCGCGAGGTGATGTCCGTCTGCTCGTGCTCCATCAGCAGCTGCACAATCTCGGGCTGGTTGGTGCATGCTGCCAGGGCCAGGGGCGTCTCACCTGGGGGATGAGCGCACTGAAGCTTGGTTCTCTCATGGGCCGGAAGCAGCGTCCCCCAAGCCCCAGGACTGGGGCCCATATCCTATCTCAGCAGGATGGGCACCTCAGGTTCCCTAGCCCTCTCCCCATCTTCCGCTTCTACGGGGAAGAGTGAAGCTAGATCACTGCGGTAGCCTCCTAACTGGCCTCCCTGCCTCCACCCTGGCCCTTTAATACTCTGCTCAGCACAGCAGCCAGACCAACCTGTTAGTGCCTCCCCCAGAATGAAAGCACAGGTTCCAATGACAGCCCACAAAGCCCTGCATACTCTGACCTCCTCTCTCCATCACTCACTCCCTCCTGCTACAACGGCCTTTTTCCACCTCCTCCAACACGCCGCCTGGGGGCCTTCGCTCGGCTGTCCCCTCTGCCTGTAGATAGCCCAGTCACTTTCTCCCTCACCTCCTTCAAGTCCTTGCTCAAATGTCACCTTTCAGTGAGCCACCCTAACCACTCTATTTAAAATTAAAATCCACCCTCCTCTTGTCCCAGACAGAACTCTTGGTTCCTTGTCCTCTGCTTTACTTTTTTTTTTTTTTTTGAGATGGAGTCCTACTCTGTCGCCAGGCTGGAGTGCAGTGGTGCGATCTCGCCTCACTGCAACCTCTGCCTCCCGGGTTCAAGCTATTCTCCTGCCTCAGCCTCCTGAGTAGCTGGGACTACAGGCGCCCGCCACCACGCCCGGCTAATTTTTGTATTTTTAGTAGTGATGGGGTTTCCCCATGTTGGCCAGGATGGTCTTGAACTCCTGACCTCGTGATCCACCTGCCTTGGCCTCCCAAAGTGCTGGGATTACAGATGTGAGTCACTGCACTCGGTCTACTTTGTATTTTTTAAGAGCACTTATCATTTCATATCATAGTATATAAAATTCTTATTTATAGTGCTTATTACCGATGGTCTCTCCCTGTCTAGAATGTAAGTTCCATGAGGGCAAGGATCTCTATTTTGTTCACTGATACATTTCAAGTACCTAGAACAGTGCCTGATGTAGACAGTAAGTGCTCAATAAATGCTTGTTAAGAAAAAATAAGGCAAGTGACTCACATGAGGTCACACAGCAAGCCTGGGACACGACCAGCTCCGGACACCAGGTCTTCAGCTGCCTCCCCTCTCCTCGCCCCACCCAACAAATGCTTCCCAACACCAGGTCCAACCAGCTCCTATGCAGGGCAATGGGGACACACGATGAACTGGACAAGACCCCGTTTTCCAGGACACCCACACCTGGACACGCAGGGCTGCCCAGAGCACAGACTAGCTAGTCCTGCTGATTAAAAAACCACCCAGAAGATAGTCCCAGCTACTCAGGAGGCTGCAGCATGAGAATCGCTTGAACCCAGGAGGCAGAGGCTGCAGTGAGCCAGATGGCACCACTGCACTCCAGCAGCCTGGGCAACAGAGTGAGACTCCATTAAAAAAATAAAAATAAAAAAAATAACACCCAGAAGAGAAAACAGATGGGTGATCATCAGTCAGGCAAGACTGGGTGGCAGGAGGGGTCTCCTCTGCAACAAAGTTACACAGAGAAATTTTTGTGTGTGACGGAGCCATTTGTTCCCTGTTCTGACTGCAGTGGTGGTGAACCAACTCGACGCACTGTGAAAATGAACAGAACTGTCCTCTAACACGGGTGACTTTCACTATATCTAAATTATGCATTTCAATTTTTTTTTTTTTTCCTAGAGCATCCTAACCCCAATTGCTTCTGGACTCTGTGACTTGTGAGGCAGGGGAGTTCTGCCCTCTCACTCTCGACTCCCTGTCTGCAGTCCTGAGATGCACTGGGCCCTGGCACAGAGGTCAGAGCTGGAGGCCAGGACACCTAAGTCAATGCCCTGCTACCCTGGGGCAAGTCCTTTCCCTTCACAGAGCCATCTCCTCGCCTGTAAAATGGGGCTGCCTCCTCAGCCTCCCTCCCAGGTCTCTGTTCCCTCAGAGAGCTACCCAGGACAATGCTTCTAAGACCACCAGGTGACACCACCGGAACATGGACTCCTCCCCCAACACCTCCTCCCAGCCCCTCCTTCTCTGGTCCACCCTGGTGTCCTGCTCAGATGGACATGCCCAGCCTCCTCCCCTCCTGCCCCTCTGGGGCACCAGAGCTTCTTAAGGCAGGGACAGTGTGGGTGGAGCTCAAAGCGGGGTGGCCCCTCCCTTCCTCCCTCCTTCCTTCCTTTCTCTCCCTCCGCCCTCCTTCCTCCTCCCTTCCTCCCTCTCCCTCCTCCTTCTCCCTTCTGTCTCCTGCCTCCCTCCTCCCTCCCTCCCCCTCCTTACTCCTCCTCCCTCTCCCTCCTCCCTCCTCCCTTCCTCCCTCCTTCCTGCTTCCCTCTTCCTTTCTCCCTCCTCCCTTCCTTCCTCTCCCTCCTCCCTTCCTTCCTCCCTCATCCTTCCTGCTTCCTTCCTCCCTCCTCCCTCTCCCTCCTCTCTCCTTCCTGTTTCCCCCTCCCTTCCTCCCTCTCCCTCCTCACTTCCTTCCTCCTTCCCTCTTTCTTCCCCCCTCCTCCCTTCTTCCCTCCTTCCCCTTCCCTCCCTTCCTCTCCCGTCTCCCTCCTCCCTCCTCCCAGACTCCGCACCGGGCGGGGGCGGCACCCACCGAAGTAGAAGCCTTCGTGTTGGTACTTGGGGTTGAAGAAGGCCCCCTTGGCGTGCGCGTTGACGTCGGCGCCGGCGGCGATGAGCAGGGCTGCGATGTCCCCCTGCCGCCGCTCGATGGCGATGTTCAGCGCCGTCTGCCCTGCGGAGCGGGCGGGGACGCGCGGGAGCCTCAGCGCCGGGCACAGGGGCCTCTTGCCCACCCGCTCTGGCCTCCATACCCTCCCCGAACCCACGGGGAGATCAGAACCCTGGTCTGTGTCGCCAGCTACCAGGAATCCCAGCTTTGTTCTTTGCTTCCTTCATGCCTGCGCGGACCCAAGAAATGTTTGTGGAGCGCCTGCTCCGGGCTCCGGCCCCAGGCGCTGGGGGTCAGTGGGTGCCCAAGACGCAATCTCGATTATTTTCCTCAAGAAGCCCGCAGTGTCACTGAGAACGAGGTGCTACGATTCAGAGGGGTGCAGGAGCTGCGGTACCCAGAGCAAGGGCCCTTCACAGCCAGAGAGCGTCAGGGGGCTTCCCAGAGCTCTCTAACCTGGGACCTCAGAAGTTTAGCGAGGCGGTGTGGGGCCAGCTCATCAGCCAGGGCAAGAGGGCAGAGCTTGTGCTAAGGGCCAGAGTCACAGACGGCCTTGAATTAGGAAACTGGCAGGACGAGAATGTAGGGCTCGGTGCATGGGTGTTTTCAGACCTCTCTGGCTGCAAAAGTGGAGGATGCGTTAGAAGCAGCCGAGACCAGTGAAGGAAATGATGAGGCCTGTAATCCCAGCACACTGGGAGGCCAAAGCAGGTGGATCACCTGAGGTCAGGAGTTCGAGAGCAGCCTGACCAACATGGTGAAACATGGTCTGTACTAAAAATACAAAATTAGCCGGCCGTGGGGGCGCATGCCTGTAATCCCAGCTACTTGGGAGGCTGAGGCAGGAGAATCGCTTGAACCCAGGAGGCAGAGGTTGCAGTGAGCCGAGATTGGTCCATTGCACTCCAGCCTGGGCAAGAAGAGTGAAACTCCATCTCAAAAAACAAACAAACAAACAAAAAAATGATGAGGCCTGGACTAAGGGGAGTTGGAGGGCACATGAAGGGTGGAGAAAGGAGGAAGCCCAAAGACCCTCTGGAGAAAGAGCCTTCAGGATGCCCGGCTGGGAAGAAGGGTGTCTCAGGTAAGATCTAGGTATTCAGCCCTGGCGGTGGGTGAATGATACGCTGGTGACACAGCAAGAGGAAAGAAGGGTAGCGGGAGAGACACTAAGCCTGCTGGAGACCAGAGAACTTCCAGATGGAAGGGACCAGAAGGCTGGAGTGGGGGAAGGGTCTCGAAATGCACCAACAGAAACAGCAGTTTCCAAAGAGCTGCCGCTGTGTCATAAACAAACATAGTCTTGGTGGATTAAAGAACCAAGCTTTAAGACACATTAGAAAGTTTGTTTATAGCTAACCTTTTGGTAGGGAAGACCTTCTTAAGCAGGATCCAAAAGGCAGAAACCATAAAGAAAAGGCTGACATATTTGCTTACATAAAGGTTTTTGGTTTTGGGGGTTTTTGGTTTTTTGTTTGTTTGTTTGTATGTTTGACATAGGATCTTGCTGTGTCACCCAGGCTGGAGTGCAGTGGCGTGAGCATAGCTCACTGCAACCTTGAACTCCTGGGCTCAAACGATCCTCCTGTCTCAGCCCCCCAAAAGCTAGACTTTCATATTTGGCATAAGAAATGCTCTAAGACATACAGTTAATCAAACAAAGCAACTTGTAGAATACAGACGTGATGGTCCTATTTTATGTTAGATAAGTAAATAAAACTATTTCTGTGTACATATATACACACACACGTGTGGACTACAGGCCTGCACCACCACTCCCGGCTTATTTTTAAAATTTTTTGTAGAGACAGGATCTTGCTGTGTTGCCCAGGCTGGTCTTGAATTCCTGGGCTCAAGCAATCCCCCTACCTCGGAGATTTCTGTATTTCCGAATGCATCCTAATGAAAGTTAAAGACAAGTGATAGGCTGGGGAAAATATTTGAGATATATAAAAAGGCAATGTGTTTTAGGGCCGGGCGCGGTAGCTCACACCTGTAATCCCAGCACTTTGGGAAGCCGAGGCGGGTGGATCACTTGAGGTCAGGAGTTCGAGACCAGCCTGGCCCACATGGAGAAACCCCATCTCTACTGAAAATACAAAAAAATTAGCCAAGTGTGGTGGCGGGCACCTGTAGTCCCAGCTACTCAGGAGGTTGAAGCAGGAGAATCACTTGAACTCAGGAGGCAGAGATCGCGCCACTGTACTCCAGCCTGGGCTAGAGAGCAAGACTCTGTCTTTTTAAAAAAAAAAAAAAAAAAAAGGCATGCCAGGCACGGTGGCTCACACCTGTAATCCCAGCACTTTGGGAGGCTGAGGCGGGCAGATCACGAGGTCAGGAGATCGAGACCATCCTGGCTAACCTGGTGAAACTCTGTCTCTACTAAAAATACAAAAAATTAGGCGGGCGTGATGGTGAGTGCCTGTAGTCCCAGCTACTCGGGAGGCTGAGGCAGGAGAATGGTGTGAACCCGGGAGGTGGAGCTTGCAGTGAGCATGCCACTGCACTCCAGCCTGGGCAATAGAGCAAGACCCCGTCTCAAAAAAAAAATAGAAAGGCATTGTGTTTTTAAAAGTCTATAATATATTACAAGCGCCTATGAATCAATAGAAAGACAAACAGTCTAAAAGAAAACTGAGAAAAGATTATAAACAAGCACCTCACAGAGGAGAAAATACACACAGTGAATAAACAAAGTGAAAGATGTTTGGAATCACTGGTGGTCAGGAAAATGAAAATTAGAACCTAAAGAGTTAACCCTTTTCACCCACCAGACTGGAAAAGAACAAAAAAAAAAAAAAAAGGATAATTTGCAGTGTTAGTGATAAGTAGGAGAATGAGTATTTCTGTACACCGTTGTGGGGAGAGAGTAAATGAGTATCTTTTAGAGACAAATTTGGCAATAACTATTATAACTTTATTTTATTTATTTAAAAAAAAATTTTTTTTTTTGAGATGGAGTCTCCCTCTGTTGCCCAGGCTGGAGTGCAGTGGCGCGATCTCGGCTCACTGCAACCTCCGCCTCCCAGGTTCAAGTGATCCTCCTGCCCCAGCCTCCCAAGTAGCTGGGATTACAAGCGTGCCCCACCACGCCCTACTAGTTTTTGTATTTTTAGTAGAGATGGGTTTTCACCATGTTGGCTAGGCTGGTCTGGAACTCCTGACCTCAAGTGATCCACCTGCCTTGGCCTCCCAAAGTGCTGGGATTACAGGCATGAGCCACTGCGCCTGGCCACTATTATAACTTTAAATATGCATGCGGTTGAACCCAGATATTCCAATTCAAAATATTTTCTGAAACATATGTGCACCTGTGCACAGGGTCATAGACAAGATCGTGCACTGTGACATTGTCACAACACAGCTGGAAACACCTGACTGTCTGTCAGTGGGGGAGTGGTGAAATTAGCCAAGGTGCAGCCGCAATTGCAGACGAATCTGGTGAAAAGAAGCTAGACTTTCATATTTTGGCATAAGAAGTGCTCCAAGACATATGGTTAATAGTTAATCAAAAAAACCAACTTGTAGAATACAGACAGTATGATAATATTTTATGTTAAATAAATAAAACTTTTTCTGTGTGCACATATACACACACAAATGTCAAAGGCCTAGAAAACTCCACAAAGTATATGGGTAAAGGACTTAAAAAAAAAAAAAGTATGTAAAATGCTGGGCTGCTTTACAATGAAACTCTATTCATGTGACGTGGATGTTGTTAGGCTGGGTGCGGTGGCTCACGCCTATAATCCCATCATTGAGAGGCAGAGGCGGGAGGATTGCTTGAGCCCCGGAGTTACAGACCAGCCTGGGCAACATGGTGAAACCCTATCCCTGCAACAAATAGAAAAATTAGCTGGGCGGGGTGGCACGCATCTATAGTCCCAGCTACTCGGGAGGCTGAGGTGGGAAAATTACCTGAGCCCAGGGAGGTCAAGGCTGCAGCGAGTCGTGGTCGCGCCACTGCACTCCAGCCTGCCCAACAGAGTGAGAACCTGTCTCAAAAACAATAATAAAATAAAATAAAGTAAAATAATAAAAAGAAACTGTTATATTGAATCTGATGATGGATGTGTAGAGGTTTATTATTCTAATATCTTAACTTCATGTTTAAAATTTTTATAATAAAAATGTCTTAATTGAAGAATTGCTTAAAAAAGTAAAACTCTGAAGGCCTCTGATAAAATGCTTTAAAATGATATGAATAAAGTTGTGATTGGTTCCTCTTAGCAGCATAGGGAGGAAATATTCGCCCTTGCCCAGTGGGGAAACTGAGGCTCAGAGAGGTGAGGCAGTTGCCTGTAGTCCCAGCTACTTGGGATGCTGAGGCAGGAGAATCACCTGAACCCGGGAGGCAGAGGTTGTGCCACTGCACTCCAGCCTGGTGACACAGCGGAACTCCATCTCAAAAAATAAATAAATAAATAAATAAATAAATAAATAAACAAAGTCATTGCTCTAAATAAGGTTATTTTAGATACAAAAAAATGCTATGAAAATAAATGAAGATAGGGTGACAGAAAGTGACTGGGGAAGGGAAACTTTAGAGTGGACAATCAGAGTGGTCACCTTGGGTCCTGCCCAGAGTGTGGAAGAATGCTACTCTGCTGGTCCTGGAGCCCCTCTGCTCCGGGTGGAGGAAATGCTAAGAGGAAGGAAGGCACCAGCGGATGGGTCAGAACGGTGGTGGGGTTGGTTTCCAGGAAGACAAGAATAAATAGCTCCTCCCACCATTCAGAGAAAGAGGAGGTGCCCACAGCCTCCCAGACCTCCTCGCCCCAGCAAGAGGCAGATTCATGAAAGGAGAGGGAAAGGGGAGGCTAAGAACAGGGAGAGGTAAGGATCTGTGACCGGGACAGCAAAGTCTTCACAGAAACACTAACAACCTTCTTTCATTCACTCATCCAAAAAATATGTACTAAGCGTCTCTTAGGTGAGACCCTAAGGGTACTGGGAAATGAACTGTAAGCAACAGACTTCATCCCTGCCCTCAAGGGAAACATGTTGCTAGCAAAGGGTAGTTCGTAAGTCCTACAATACTGACAAGAAGAAAGGAGGATACAAAGGGGACTGAAAAGGGAAAATTAGGACAAGCAAGCTTGAGGCACTGGCCTGAACCTCCCTGTCTGCAGGACTACTGTCAACTCCTTAGAGACAGGCTGAGAATGTGATATGGTTCATCCAGTTTCTCTCTTTGCATTGGCTACCAGGGAGCTCAGTGAGCAGTTTAGCACTCAGTTGCAACAGTCTTCCCTAGGTTTCCTCTCCTCCACTCCATATCTTCTAGTTTGTCACAATCCTTGACTTCTTCTTATATATAACAAAAATGCTTTTGAAAGTCTGCAGAGTTCAAATAATAAATCACAATTACTTTCTCCCATGAGAAGGGTTAAAGGCCAAAGCTAAACTCCCACCTGGAAAAACCTAAATTGTGGCAGGGCGTGGTGGCTCACGCCTGGAATCCCAGCACTTTGGGAGGTGAAGGCAGGTGGATCACCTGAGGTTGGGAGTTTGAGACCAGCCTGGCCAAAATGGTGAAACCCCGTCTCTACTAAAAATCCAAAAAAATTAGCCAGGCATGGTGGCAGGTGCCTGTAATCCCAGTTACTTGGGAGGCTGAGGCAGGAGAATCGCTTGAACCTGGGAGGCAGAGGTTGCAGTGAGCCAAGATCGCGCCACTGCACTCCAGCCTAGGCAACAGAGCGAGACTCCATGTCAAAAAACAAAAACAAAAAAGCTCAAACATCTAGTGCCCCCAGCATATCAGCAAGACGGCATCCAATTATAATTGAGTCAATCGCTTTTGCCACGAGCACCTCATAAGACCGTAAAGCGCTGTTGACTGACTCCAAAACTCAAATAAAGACACATCTTACTGATTTTCCCCTGTGGATTTCCTGGGAGGGAGCCACTCTCCCAAATTTGCTCTCCCAGCATCCTCTCTGGCCCACTTACAAAGAAATCCACAAAACTGAGACCCAAATGGGGACAGTTAATGATGATGATGATGATGACAACAGTCGACTTTTGGTGGCCCCTGCCCGGCTCTCTTGCCTCACTTCCAGCCTTCTTTTCATTGCTCAACCATGCCAAGCTCAATCCCATCTTGGGGCTTTCGCCCTGATCCTTCTCATCATGTCGGCCTCAGGCCAAAGATGACCACTCTGACTGTCCACTCTAAAGTTGCCCTCCCCCAGTCACTTTCTGTCACACTATCTTCATTTATTTTCGTAATATTTTAAATCTAAAATTATCTTATTTAGAGCAGTGACTTTCTTTCTTTTCTTTGTTTCTTTTTCTTTCTGTCTTTACTTATTTATTTATTTTGAGATGGAGTCCCGCTCTGTCACTAGGCTGGAGTGCAATGGCGATCTCGGCTCACTGCAACCTCCGCCTCCTGGGTTCAGGTGATTCTCCTGCCTCAGCCTCCCAAGTAGCTGGGATTACAGGCACCTGCCACCATGCCCGGCTGATTTTTGTATTTTTAGTAGAGACGGGGTTTCACCATGTTGGTCAGGCTGGTCTTGAACTCCGGACCTCAGGTGATCCACCCGCCTCAGCCTCCCAAAGTGCTGGGATTCCAGGCGTGAGCCACCACGCCCGGCCTTAGAGCAGTGGCTTTAACCTGTCTTGTTCACCAGTGCATGCCCATGCCAAAAACAATGCCTGGCATGGAACCAGTGCTCAAAATTATTTGCAGAATGAAGGAAGAAAGAGAGGGTTGCCTGAAGCATCCCTGGTACCATGCTACATGCTTGGGGCTCCTCAATGGCAGCAGTGCCTCCACGTGGCCTGGCCAGCAGTGGCCCTGTGGCCCCATACCCCACCCTCAGAGACTCCTGTCTGCACAGCCCCTCTGCAGGCAGGATACCTTCATAGGCCTCCTCTGTGTACTCGGCGTTGATGAACCTGCCCAGGATGTCGTTCTCTTCAGCAAAGGCAAGCAGGATCCGCACTATCTCCTTGGTGTTGGGGTTGATGTTTAACAAGGCCTTCATCAGGCAGGTCTTCCCCGTGTCGGAGGCCGTCAGCTTGTGCATGAGGAAGTCTGCAGGCAGGGCCATGGGTGGAGTTACAGGAGGGCCCCGGCTGCCCTTGGCCCTCCCAGCCCAGAGGGTGTGGTTGCTGCAGCCGCAGACCCCAAGCCCCTGCTCCACATCTCCACTCCCAGACCTTACACTTGGCCGCTCTCCTCCCTCTCCAGCTGTTTCTCCTCCGTCTCCTATGCTGGCTCCTTGCTCTCTGTGGCCCATGGGTGACGTATCTGAGGCCTTTTGCTCTTTGCCCACTGTATGGCTTCCCGCTGTCCACCCCCCTGCTGCCACCCTGGAATCTGTCTCCAGCCTGCCCCCTCCTCGTGGCCTGCAAATAAAGCTCATGGCCTCCCCATCAACCTGATACTGCACTGGTCCCCGAGACACCCAGGGCTCCACCAGCCACCAAGCTACCCAAGTCTAAATGGCACCATGCTGGACCCCCCGTCCCTCACTCCCCAGGTCCTCAAATCCTGCCAATGCTACTGGCCGAGGAGCTGCTCAGAACCGTTCCCTTCTCAAGCCCTGCTTCAGGGTCCCAGCCCTGCCTGAACAGTGGCCTTCTCCAGCTTCACCCCCATCTTCCACACAGTAGTCAGACCCGACTCTCACCTGCCCAAACCCTTCTGTGGTTCCCCATTCTCCTCGGAGTCAAGTTCAAAGTCCCTAGCCAGAATTCAAGGCCCCTCACACTCCAGCCTCATGGGTTGGTGAGGGGAGGGGAAAATGGGCACCAGAAGCCAAGCAGGGCCCCCAGCCCTGCACCCTCTGCCAGGCTCAGACACTCACCAGGCACATCCTCATCATGGCGCCGCCTGCAAAGCTCCTGCAGCTCCACCAGCAACTCTACCAACTCCTCCACGCAGCCCTCAGACACGGCTGCAAAGATGCGCTTCTTCAGCCGCCTCTTTTTCCTCCTCTGCTCTTCCTTGGCCAGCTGTGCACTGAAGCCAGAAAATGTTTCCAACTCAACACACACATCCTCTCAAGCTCAATCTCTCCTTTTCCCCGCCAGAGCTGCCTACGGGGCGCTGCAGCTGCCGCCAACATCTCCCATGCCTGTCACAATGCCTGCAAACTCCTGGGCTCTGTGTGGACCCATCAGGCTCCCCTTGTAATCCATATGCAATCACATTTTGTCAAAATACCTACATTTGGATGCATGAAGTAATGATCAGGAAGGATCTATGCCTATTAAAGACATTACCTTGAAAATATAAGATTTCATATTTTATGTTGTTTGAACTTTTAAAATCTATCCTTCCCTGTCCTCCCACTCCAGATAAGCAACCATGGTAACGCGTTGATGTCTCCTTTTGTTTCTTTTTTCTTTTTTTTATTTGAGACAGAGTCTTGCTCTGTCACCCAGGCTGGAGTACAGTGACACAATCTCAGCTCACTACAACCTCCACCTCCAGGGTGCAAGCAATTCTCCTGCCTCAGCCTCCTCAGTAGCTGGGATTACAGGCATGCGCCACCACGCCCGGCTAAGTTTTGTATTTTTAGTAGAGACGGGGTTTCACCATGTTGGTCAGGCTTGTCTTGAACTCCTGACCTCGTGATCCTCCTGCCGCAGCCTCCCAAAGTGCTGGGATGACAGGTATGAGCCCTGCACCTGGCTATGTATTTTTAGTTCACATAAATGGTGTCGTGCTACAGTTCTTTTTCCACTGCATCCTGCTGTTTGAATGTTTCATAACAAATGGGTTTTATAGAATTCAATACTCCACTCCTTCCCCGTAAACGTCCTACATGCCATGGACCCATGACTCCACTTGTCCCAATCCCCAGGAATGGTGGATTCTTTCTCCTTCCTGCAGGGCCCCGGATCCTGTCTCTCTGGCACCCCCAGCCTGGGTGGGCACAGTGGGTGGAGGGGGAGGGGCAGACTTACCTGGGGCTGTTGGGATTGGATGGGGTCTCTGTCACATCATCCTGAGGAGACTGGGGGGAGTCCATGTCATCACAGTTACCAGAGATGCTGGAGGTGTTGGCAGGGGGAACAGAGAGGGTTTTAAAGTTTTAAAATGGGCCGGGTGAGGTGGCTCATGCATGTAATCCCAGCACTTTGGGAGGCCGAGGCAGGTGGATCACTTGAGGTCAGGAGTTCGAGACCAGCCTGGCCAACATGGTGAAACTAAACTGTCTCTACTAAATTGTCTCTACTAAAAATACAACAACTAGCCAGGCGTGGTGGCATGTGCCTGTAATCCCAGCTACTTGGGAGGCTGAGGCAGGAGAATCGCTTAAACCTGGGAGGTGGAGGCTGCAGTGAGCTGAGATTGGGCCACTGCACTCCAGCCTGGGCAACAGAGCGACATTCCATCTCAAAAAGATAAATAATAATAATAAAGTTTTATAATAGACAGTGGTAGCATGCCACAGCCAGGCCTGGCCCCGTGACCCAGGGCAAGTCACTGGCCACATGCTGGAGCTGAGGGCTGGGCCCAGGGCAAGGGGTTGGGCTGGGGCCCGTACTCACCACTGCCGGATGTTGGAATCCATGGGCTTGGAGAAGACAGGAGGAGAGGTCTTGGCAACTGTGGGGTTGGGTTCAAACCCTTCTATCTCCAGGAAGAAGTGTGCACTGAGGGAACACGGAGGAAGCCTGTTAGGGCCGAGCCAGGCAGAGCCTGTCTGCCTGTGTCCTGCCTCCTGGCCCCAGAGGGTGCCCCCATGCTGAGCACACACCCTGGCCAGCTCTGAGCCCAAATGGCCTTGCCCAGCCCTCCCGGGAGCCCTCGGAGATGGACACTGTCATTATCACCTACGTTTCACAGATGGTCTCCAGGGAGCTGCGAGTCAAGTGTGAAACTAAAGAAAAGGACTGAGGCGAACCCAATTGATGTAGAGGTTTATTTTGCCAAGGTTGAGGACACACCCGGGAAGAAGACACACAAGCCCCAGTAGGATCTGTGGCCCACACTTCCTCCTCTGAACAAGATTCTGAGGGCCTCAATATTTAAAGGTGAAAAGTGGGCAGGAGAGAAAGGAGGAAAGAAAAAAAAAAGAGGGAGCAGGCCGGGTGCAGGGGCTATTATCCCAGCACCCTGGGAGGCTGAGGCGGGCAGATCACCTGAGGTAAGGAGTTTGAGACCAGCCTGGCCAACATGGCGAAACTCTGTTTCTACTTAAAATGCAAAAAAAAAAAAAAAAGTAGCTGGGCATGATGGCAGGCACCTGTAACCCCAGCTACTCGGGAGGCTGAGACAGGAGAATTGCTTGAACCTGGGAGGTGGAGGCTGCAGTGAGCCGAGACCGCGCCACTGCACTCCAGGCTGCGTGACAGAGCAGGACTCCGTCTCAAAAAAAAAAAAAAAAAAGAAAGAAAACAGGGAGCACAGGGCCACGTTCTTGTGAGGCTTCGATTCTGCTTACTGAGCACGTGTTGCACGTGAAAAGGGGTGGGTAGTGGAAACAGTCAATTATGGATTCATCTTGCGCTCAGTAAATCTGCACTTTATGGAAGACAAACATAGACGCATGGTGGCTCACACCTGTAATCCCAGCACTTTGGAAGGCCTAGGCGGGCGGATCATCTGAGGTCGGGAGTTCGAGACCAGCCTGACCAATATGGAGAAACCCCGTCTCTACAAAAAATACAAAAATTAGACAGGCGTCGTGGTGCATGCCTGTAGTCCCAGCTACTTGGGAGGCTGAGGCAGGAAAAGTGCTTGAACCCGGGAGGTGGAGGTTGCAGTGAGCCGAGATCATGCCACTGCACTCCAGTCTGGGCGACAGAGCGAGACTCTATCTCAAAAAACAAACAAACCAACAAAAACATAGACGCATAGGGGAAGCAGTCAGATATGCATTTGTCTCAGTGGGGTCGGGTGAGGGAGGACAATTTCTAGTCTCCTCTTGTCCTGTAGTGTCAATTAGCTGCTAATTTACAATGTCAAGGTGAGGAAGGCCCCCCTTGGAGACATGTGGCTTCTATCTGTAGATAAAGCAACTTGCCCAAGGTCACGCAGCAGATAGGTAGCAAAGTCCAGATTCAAAGCTGGGCTAGGCCAGGTGTGGTGGCTCATGCCTGTAATCCCAGCCCTCTGGGAGGTCAAAGTGGGCAGATCAGTTGAGGTCAGGAGTTTGAGGCCAATGCGGCAAAACCCTGTGTCTACTAAACATACAAAATTAGCTGGGTGTGGTGGTATGCGCCTGTAATCCCAGCTATTCAGGAGGCTGAGGCAGAAGAATTGCTTGAAACCGGGAGGCAGAGGTTGCGGTGAGTCAAGATCGTGCTACTGCACTCCAGCCTGAGTAACAGAGCGGGACTCCTTCTCAAAAAAAAAAAACTGGGTCTGGGTGACTCTCCTTGCTAGAAATACTGGATGGCTGAACCCGGGTCTCTACTGCGGGTGGCCTAACACTTGAGCCAGGTTGCCCTGTCTGCAGCCACCTCCAGGTACAAAGGACACCTCAAGGATGGGGAAGATGGTACTGGGAGCTAGGTTTTCCCGTCACCACCTACCCACCCTCAGGCCTCAGGTCTGAAGTCAGACGCCTTCTGAGGGGCCGTCCCTAGACTCTGAGATCCACGCGGGCCTTCCTGGCTCTTGAGGGAGAGGGAGATGGCTGGAGTTATACTTGCCCCCGCTGATCAGCACTTGTGCTGTTTGTCACAGCAGAAAATGGGCTGAAAATGGCTGATCTAGGCTGGGTGCAGTGGCCCAAGTCTGTAATCCCAGCACTTTGAGAGCTAGAGGCAGGAGGGTCACTTGAGGTCGGGAGTTTGAGACCAGCCTCGCCAACATGGTGAAACCCCATGTCTACTAAAAATACAAAAAGTAGCCAGGCGTGGTGGCACGCACCTGTAATCCCATCTACGTGGGAGGCTGAGGCAGGAGAATCACTTGGACCTGGGAGGTGGAGGTTGCAGTGAGCCAAGATCGCACCATTGCACTCCAGGCTGGGTGACAGAGGGAGACTCCTCTAGAAAAAAAATGGCTGATCTAGAGCAGGGAGGACTTGAGGGGTCAGAGGACAGGGCTGGGAATTCCCTGTGGAGAAGGAAGCCATCTCAGGCGGTGGAGGGGGGCAGCGGAGGGGAGGGGCAGGGCAAGGGCAGCTTTCTCCTTGGGCTGGGAGAAGAGAGACAGAAGCCCCCGGCCCTGTGGCCTGGCTGAGCCCCAGCGAAGGAGAGACGCTGGCCTATAAGAAGCAAGACATACACCCGTGATGTGACTCCCAGCCAGACACACCGCCAGCTCCACCTTCAGACACACCCACAAACACAGGCACCCATGTTCTTGGAAACCACAATCACACGCACAGAGAAGAGCCTTCTGGCTGACGACAACCCGGACTGTGAGGATCAGGCTGAGGGTGACCTCGGTGGCAGCAACTCTCCTGCCCTGCAGCTGCTACAGGACAACTGCAGCCTCTGTGGCCTGGCCAGGGACTGTGGCCTCCTGACCAGCAGGGCCTCTCCAGGCACACGGGGCTCCTAAAGCACCTTTGCTGCCTCCTTCATTCTAAGGCCCAGAAGGGACCAACATGCCCCTTCCTTCCTCACAAGACTACAGAAGAGCTCCCAAAGGGCAGTCTCAGCTGTGTCACATTCAGGAGGGAGGGTAGCAGGAAAGGGACTGTGGCCCCATTCTGCAGACAAGAGAACTGAGGCTCAGTATGGAGAAGCAGCTCATCCATGGTCACCCCCCAGGGTAAAAGTCAAGGTGGTCAAAGAACCTGCTTCCCGACATCCAGGCTCATAGTCCACACTGCAATCCATGCTTCTTTGCTCTCGCCTTAGCAATCTGAGCCTTCTTCCAGCTAAACTAGCTCCAGGGGTTGGCCACAAAGGGAGGTTGCTTGGCATGGCCACTTCCTGGGGTGGGGCAAGCAGGAGAGAGACCCCGGGCTTTCCCAAGGAATCTCTGCCCTTTCCTCCAGCACAGACAAACCTAGAAGGCTCAGCGCTAATCCAGAAATGGGGATACATGGGGTGGAGGGCAGTACTGGCTGCCAGTCTCACCTGCCTCACCTGACAGTCTCCTGCCCACCAAAAGGAACCTTCTGATCTGAGCTCCCAATCAAACCCTTCTTCCAAAAGGGAAGACAAAGGGAGGATTTAAACCCTTGCCTGGGAACCTAAAGCCTGGGTTCTAGTCCAGCTGTGTCTCTGCCTCCTGTATGACCCCAGATGATCACTTGCCATCTCTGGGCCAGTCATCTTCACCTGAATGGATGATGGTTGGGCCAGATGATCCCTAAGGTCTGGACCCTGGAGCCAGGGTAGCTCTGGGATCGTCCTCTTATGGAATTCCAGCTGAAGTGGGCATCGGAGGTCAACCAGTCTGATTGCCACTTCCCTGCGGCCCTGCAGTGCCCCAGAACTTTTGCCCTAAAGTAGTCGCTCCGCAACAACAGCCTGACCTAGAAGCTCCAAACACATTTGCTAGTGGTTCAGCCCCAAAACATCCTGGTTGAGATTTGCCAAATTATCTCCAGACAGAGCTCCAAGCCCTATACCCACAGCTTTTTCCCCAAGAATGTTGGTCCAGTCTGTCCCCTGCTCCCCATCCCGCCCTACCTGTCTGCATTCCTCAGTGTTGCATTTACTCAACAAATATTTATTGAGCATCTACAATGTGCCAGGCACTGTTTCTGCAGCTGAGGATACAGTAGTGAACAAGTGGACAAAATTTCCATCCCTTCCAGAGCTGCTGTTCCAGTGAGTTGGTCAGAACTGACCAAGAAATAGTACAATGAGGCCACGACTTTCCACACTCTGGACAATACACCATCCTACAGCTATACATTCCTCAATGGCAGAGACTACAGTTGAATTATCCTTGATTCCCAACACTGGTCCTAACACTCAGAAGACTTCATCAGTGAATGAGTGGGAGGATAGATAATGAGTGAAAGATGAATGAGTGGAAGGAAGGATGGTTGGTTGTATAGATGCCCAGATAAATGGATGAATGAATAATGGAGAGATGATAGAATGAGGGATGGGTGGATGATGGATGGATGGATGGACAGATGATGGAATGGGTAGATGAGTGGATGGATGATGGATGGATGGATGGATGGATGGATGGAGGATGGATGGATGGATAGGTGGATGGATGGATGGATAGATGATGCGTAGATGAGTGAATGGATGATGGATGGATTGATGAATAAATGATTGATGGATGGATGAATAGATGATTGATGGGTGAATAAATGACAGATATATGTATGTATGGATGGATGGATGGAGGATGGGATGGGTAGATGAGTGGATGGTTGATGGATGGATGGACAGATGATGTATGGATGGATGGATGGATGATAGGTAGATGAGTGGATAGATGATGGATGGATGGATGGATGAATAAATGATGGATGGATGGATGAATAGATGACGGATGGGTGAATAAATGATGGATGGATGGATGGATGGATAATAAGTAATTGGGAGGGTAGGATAGGTGGACAGGACCAATAAGCAGATAAACCAACATAACCTTAAACCAAAATGTTGGGAGGTTGCATCCTTCAGGTGACTTCCACTGTGCTCTCAGGTGCTTAAAGCCTTTACCTCTCCTAAGCCTCATCCCCTTCCCAATCTCTCATAAGAAGATGAGGAGCAGCCCTTTGTCTCTGCCCTACCTCCCTACCTACTCAAGGCCTTCTCCCAGAGTCCACAGGGGCCCAAAGATGGTCCAGAAAGCCATATCACAAGAGTGTGTATCCACTTCAGACCTGAGGCTGAGAGCCCGAGGGAAAGGAAGAAGCATTTCCTCATCACTCCATAGTGTCCTCGTGCTGCCAAGGGCTGTGCTGGGCTACCCGGCTGCTTGCTCACCAGCTCACCCACTCCTTCTCTCATTTTCCTGCCTGCTCTTTTTTTTTTTTTTTTTTTTTTGAGATGGAGTCTCGCTCTGTCGCCTAGGCTGGAGTGCAGTGGCGTGATCTCAGCTCACTGCAAGCTCTGCCTCCCGGGTTCATGCCATTCTCCTGCCTCAGCCTCCCCAGTAGCTGGGACTACAGGCGCCCGCCACCACACCTGGCTAATTTTTTGTATTTTTAGTAGAGACAGGGTTTCACCGTGTTAGCCAGGATGGTCTTGATCTCCTGACCTCATGATCCACCCTCCTCGGCCTCCCAAAGTGCTGGGATTACAGGCATGAGCCACCGCACCCGGCCTCCTGCCTGCTCTTTTATTGACTCATCTGCTTACTCAAAAGCTACTAATATCCTCTGTGTAAGAAACTCAGGGAGACCGAAGGAAAGAGATGAACCTTCCAGGGACTCCATGCTCAGTGATCTCGACCAGAGCTAAGACATCATCCCAATGACCATGTCAACCTCTTCAGAGAGGGGCTGCGCTATGGGAGCTCAGAGGAAGAGAAGATCCTTCCAGTTGAAGACAGGGATCAGGGAGGGCTCTGTGCTCTGTTGGGGTGGGATTTGGTCTGGGTCTTGACACCAGTCTGGTTTGGGAAAAGCCCCGAAGGCAGAACAGCATGAGAAAGCCTCAGGAGAAGGGGAGGTCTATGTCTGGAGAAGGAAGCTCTTGGCATCTGGAGCACCAGATGTGAGAAGACAGTGATAAGCGCAGGGCTGGGGAGGACCCCAACTGTTGGGCAAAGACCTAACTCCTGGGGCAGAGCAGCTGCTAGACCGTGAAGGTCTGTCCTGCGCCCGCCCTACTGGTCACTGCACACACTACATCCCACCCAGCGTCATAAGCACATGGCAAGGCCTTGGCCCAGTGACACCCTGGCTCCAGGCCTGCTGTAGGTGCTGTTTGTTTCTTCCTTCCTTCTGTCCAGACCAAAGGGCACCAGCTGGGTGTGGTTGACCCAGGTGAGCAGATAGCTCTATACCATTTCTACTGCATTTCTGTTCCTTAAAGTCGAAGAACTGTCCCTGAACAGCCCAGGGCTGGGAAGGAGATTGTCCATCCATTTGCTTTGTGCCAAGAAATGCCCAAGTGTTCTGGGCTCTGCAAGGCCAGTGTCTCCACAGCCTCCATCAGTCTGTATCTCTGTCTCTGGGCATCACCTTTTCCAGGGTCCAGGAAGGAAGCCAAGATGACAGCTGCTCTCAGGGAATGGCACGATGGTTCAGGAGCACTCCCAGGTCCAAAAGTGTCTCCTATCTCCAGACTCCCTGGTGCCTTTGATTCCACCATTAGGCCTGTTTCCTTAGGGGTCAGCATTGCCCTCTTTCTTCACCTGTAATTTATTCTTTTTTTTTTTTTTTTTTTTTTTTTTTTTGGAGATGGAATCTTGCTATGTCACCCAGGCTAGAGTGCAGTGGCACAATCTCAGCTCACTGCAACTTCCGCCTCCCAAATTCAAGCAATTCTCCTGCCTCAGCCTCCCAAGTAGCTGGGATTACAGGTGCCTACCACAGCATCCAGCTAATTTTTGTATTTTTTTTTAGTAGAAATGGGGTTTCACCATGTTGGCCAGGCTACTCTCAAACTCCTGACCTTGTGATCCACCCGCCTCAGCCTCCCAAAGTGCTGGGATTACAGGCGTGAGCCACCACGCCTGGCCTTTTCTTTTCTTTTCTTTTCTTTTTTGAGACAAGAGTTTTGCTCTGTCGCCCAGGCTGGAGTGCAGTGGCACAATCTTGGCTCACTGCAACCTCCACCTCCTGGGTTCAAGCAATTCTCCTGCCTCAGCCTCCCAAGTAACTGGGACTATAGGCACACGCCACCACACCCGGCTAATTTTTGTATTTTTAGTAGAGACAGGATTTCACCACGTTGGCCAGGCTGGTCTCAAACTCCTGACCTCAAATGATCCACCCGCCTCGGCCTCCCAAAGTGCTGGGATTACAGGCGTGAGCCACCGCGCCCGGCCTTTTAATTTATTCTTTTCTGTTTCTCTCTGGGCCCAAGTCCCCGACTCAGCTCTGAGGGGGGTGCCCAAACCTTCACATGAGGGTCCTCAGAGGGCCTTTGGGGCAGAGAAGTGGACAGCAATTTAGGAGACATGCCAAGCTCAGCCCTTGGCTGGGCGGAGGAGGCTTTGCAGAGCTGAGCCTGGAGCTAAATCTGTGAATGGGGGGGATGGGCTCAGAGAAGGCAGCCTGACGGTTCCTGCTGAGGAAAGGACGTGGGATTTTCCCAAAACTCTATCCTCATTTTTTTCCGGAGGTCCAAACCTCCCCTGGACAAGTGAGAGCGGATGGGAAGGGGCAGGAGAGCCAGGGAGGTGGTCCTTGCCAGCTTAGCTCAGGGATGTCTCTGCCCTTTCCTGGACAAGCCCACCCAGACCCAGGCTGCCCCCATGACCCCACACGACACCTGTCTGGCTCCTTCTCCACCAGTTTTCCCTTTTGCCTTCCAAGATGGAGCCTCCACCTGGGTGTCTCTCAGGCACCTCCCACCCAACATTTCACAACTGAATTTGGCTCATTCCTCCTGACCTGGATCTTCTCCTCTGATGCGCCATGTCAGATGGCCCCGCCATCCCTCCAGGCCCTCCCACCGGGACTCCTCCTTCTCCTTTACCTCCCGTGGCTGGTCCTGCAGACCCCATGATACTGGCACCTGTCTGTGCTGCCCCCTCCTCTTTATCCGTGACCACCCAGGCTCAGACATCACCACCTATCACCTGGGCTTCCCAAAGGCCTCCTCATGGTCTCCCTGCTGTCAGCCTCTCCTCTAATCCGTCATCCACGCAGATCCCCCAGAGTCACCTCTCCAGAAGGCACATCTCACCATGCCCTCCCTCCCACAAAAAATCCCTCCATGGCTCCCCACTGCCCTGAGGATTATCCAAGTTCCTTGACTGACCCCCAGGACTCAGCTCCAGTGGGACTCGCCTCCCCAAAGACTCCTCTACTGGCCGGTACTTCAGCTACACCAGACTCCTCACCTCAGTGGCCCCACTCTGAGCCATGGCTCTCATGTCCCTCTGCCCAGATGCACTTTTTCCTTCCTCTCCACATCCTCTCTAGCACCACCTCCTCCAGGAAGTCCCCTGAGACTGCCTACAGGATCAGAATAACCTGCCACTCTTCAGGCCCCACGGGGCTAGTTCACCTCTCTGTGGTCACTTCCCACTCTCTCCTCGACTCCCCTTTCACCAGACTGTGAGCAGACGTGGGCATTTTTCTCTCCATGTCCCAAACTCCTTATCCTGAGCCCAACCCTGGGGCTGGTACACAGGACACCTCAATGATTATAGCTCCAACTAACAGAGGGGAAGCACCAAGCTCAGCCCTGGCCCAAAGGGGGCCTGGGATACAGGCAGAGGAGGCAGGGCCACCCCGGGTTCAAGGGACGCACAGGTGAAGTGGGCTGGGGGACAGCGTGAGAGGCACCCAATGAGCTGGGGGTGCAGAATCTATAATGGAGGCAGCGGAGGGGCGGGATGGGTGACCCTAGAGAGGTCCTTTCTCTGCTCCAGGTCTCCTCCACGTCCCCAGCGAAGAAGTAAAGCTGATCATCCCAGCCCTGCCCAGTTCCCAGGGGCTCCGTGGAGTGATGAGGACAATGATGATGGTGAAGGTCACAGAAACACTCTCAATGCCAACACATGCTGAGCGCTGACCGCGTGCCAGGCGCTGCACTGAGCACTTTGTTGACTTGATCCCAATTAACCATCATCCTATAGTTGGTGCCATTGCCGGTGTCCCCATTCCAAAGGTGGAGTTCAAGAGCTTGAATAACCCGGCTGGGTGCAGAGTGGATGGAAAGCCATGGGTGTGTGTGTGGAAAACGTGCCCAACAGAGGCTCCGGGTCACCTGGAACTTCCAGCCAGCATTTTGCTCCTCGTCTCAAGGGTGGCTCCAGCCATCCCTCACCTCCCTCAGGAGCCCTCCTGACTGCTCCTGCCTCAGCACCCCCGATCCCTCCAAGGAGGCTTCCCTAATTGTGCCAGTCACACTGACTACCCCAGCTCAGCCCCCTGAGTGTGCTGTGCTCCCCACCGCACCATCCCCTAGTCATACCTCGCCGGGCACCGGGCCACCCCGGGCGAGACTGAGAGTCTCAGGTCTCCCCAAGGCAAGGGCTCCCTGGGGGGGTGCCAGGCCCCCACTCGTGCCCCTCACAGTGCCGCAGTCCGTGTCCCGAGCTCTCCAAACCCACCTCTTCTTTGTGGGGGTGATCTCCGCCGGCCTCTTCTCTGGCAGGATGGCAGGGTTCCCACTGGGGGCAGCAACTCTCTTGCCCATGAGAGGCACCATCTCCTTGGGGTGGGCTTTCATGGCTGGAATACAACCACAGGGCAGATGCTCAGGCCGGGGGGACAGGGGGAGCTTCAGGGAGTTTAGGGGCCCCATGTGGCTGCATCCAGCTCCCGTTCACACTACCTGGAACTGGAAGCTCACTCCTCCCTTCCCAGTTCACCAATCCTTCTTCAAGGACAGAGAAGCTGTCCCCAAAGCTTCCCCAGCTCCCTGCTCTAGCACCCCCAAATGCTATGGTCCTAGGAGAGCCCAGCAGGGTGTCCCAGTAGAGACCACCATGCCCCTGTCCTCTCTCATGACACCCTCCCCAGCCAACCAGTCCCCAGGTGGACCCCTGAACTAGTGGAGAGTCCAGCAGGGTGTCCCGGTAGAGACCACCATGCCCCTGTCCTCTCTCATGACACCCTCTCCAGCTGACCAGTCCCAGGCGGACTCCTAAGCACTAGCTCTGCTTTCCTGAGGTCCCTCTCCGATTTTGTGATGAGCAGCTCTCCAAGAGTTTTGACCTCCACAGAGCAAGATTATCACCTCCTTTGCTCTAGATGTTATGCTCCTAGTAACACAGCCTTAAGCTCCTCAGGTGTTTTGGATTCCTCAGTGTCCAGGTGGTCTCTGCAGCCAACACACCGATCATCTCCCCCGCCCACCCAAAGCTGTGTGTAACCAGCTTATGGCTGCCTGTCCATTAGATTCCCCTCTCACCTGCAGGGAGCAGCTGAGTCCCCTTGCCCCAGGCAGAGGAGGCCGACCCCCCAGTCCAGACCTGCTTTACTGATGCTCAATGTGGGCTGGGCACCGTGCTGAGCTCCGAGGGGTGTGGGGATTGGGGAAGGGGGACTGATACATCTTCCAACAAGACCAGGATAGACCGTACAGGCTGCTGTGTGGAGGAAGGACAAGCCGGGCAGAGGACAGAGCCTGGGAGGGTCAGGAGTGGCAGGAGTGGGGGGAGCTGCTGTGGCCAGAGAACCTGGGGAGCTCATGGGGACCCTGCCAGCGAAAGCCATGCGGGCAGGCTGGGCCCTGTATAGTCCTCGAACACCGCATAAGAGCTGTGGCTTCAGGCAGGCACAGTGGCTCACACCTGTAATCCCAGCACTTTGGGAGGCCAAGGTGGGCAGATTGCCTGAGCTCAGGAGTTCAAGACCAGCCTGGGCAACATGGTGAAACCCCGTCTCTACTAAAATACAAAAAATTAGCCGGGCATGGTGGTACATGCCTGTAGTCCCAGCTAGTCGGGAGGCTGAGGCAGGAGAATCACTTGAATCCAGGAGGCAGAGGTTGGATTGAGCCGAGATTGTGCCACTGCACTCCAGCCTGGGCGACAGAGCGAGACTCCGTCTCAAAAAAAATGAAAAAAAAAAAAAATAAAGTTTTTATTAAACATAAAAAAGGAGCTATGGCTGACCCCTGGGGGCAGCTGGGAGTTGGGTGCAGAGGCTCTGGGTTACATAGGAGAGCGCGGGCTGCGTTGGGGGGTGGGGGAGACCAGAAGCCAGGGGCCAGGAGGAGGCTGCTGCAGGGGCCATAGGGACGGGGAAGGGGGCCAGCTGGCCACAGAGGGATGACATGGGCGGGGAAAGGGCTGTGTGGACAGGTGGTGACTGTGTGGTCAGGGGGTGCCACTCTCAGCTTGAATCATCCTCAGGGGACTCACCTGGCGACACATAGGTGGGGGCAGGAAGACGGATTTCTGTAAGAAGAACCCAGCTGGGTGGGGTGGAGCTGGGGCCACTGGTGATCCTACCCCAATAGGAAAGCTTCCTGGAGGAAGTTTCCGGAGCCAGGTGTCATCAGGCTGGAGAGAGTCCCCCGCCCTCCAACTCAAAGGGAGCAGGCTCAGGATGGAGGAGGCATCGGCGAGGGAGAGCTTTGGCCCTGGAGCGTAGGCAACCTTGAGGCCAGGCAGGTGGAGTAGCCCACAGAGAGGGACTCCTGGGCACCCGGCCCTCCCGTGTCCAGTCACGGCCTGATGAGGATGGGCAGCCTCTATGGCTTTCCCCATCCCCACGTGGCCTTTGGTGGACTAAAAGGCTGGGATGCACCGAGCGTGAAGGAGACAGAAGAAGGGCACGTCTCTTGCCCCTCCCAGGGCCTCTGGTTTCCTTTCTGAGAAGTGGGCTGAATGGTCCCCAAGGACTCTGTGGCCCTGAGAGCTGGTTGCTCTCTCTCTTCTCTGGGCCCGAGAATGTGGCCTGCCCTGGGCCTCTGGGGCAGGAGAGGCTCAGGGAACTCTGGACTAGGGCCGCAGCAGCTATCATTAGCTCCCTGAGTCACCCCGTAAACCCCACGTTCTCACCTGCTGGACTCTCTTGTTGCCCTGGCCCTCCCTCTCTCTCCCAATCCCTGACACTGATTGAAATGGCCTTTCCCGGGCGACAGACCAGGCCGCGGAGCCACAGCTGCTGACTCAGCACCTGTGAGATGCCTGGGCCCCGTCTGTCTCCCACGGTGGGGCCACCTCCTCCCATCCTGAACTCCCATCACAATCCTGCCCCAGAAAGCCACCTCCCTGGGTCAGCCTCGGGAGGCAGGAGCCTCTCCTCTGCCCCCAGCAGTGGTGAGATTGAGATGTCCCTCCCCAGGATTCCCAAACCTCAGGGGAATGTTCCTGAGTCTGTAAGGACCTATATTCTCACACATCCCTACAGCCAAGAGTGCAGCCAAGAGTGCCTCCCTACAGCCAAGAGTGGGCCCCTGGCTGGGGCCCAAGCTCCTTCCAACCCTCCTCCCAAGGCCTATTGGCCAAGGGCAGACATGGCCCAGAGGACCTCTGAGGGCCACGCTCTGGGCTCCCCAGGGGCCTTGGAGATCACCAGCTGCCTTGTGCACAGAAGACTCACCTGGTGAGGTTCTGGGTGGTCGTGGCAACCCTTGCCCTGAGATCACCGCATGTCTGGGGCCCAAGGCCCCCGGGTGGGACTGTGGCTGAGGCGGCGGGAAGCTCTCATTGCAGGCAGAGGGATGGCTGGAATGAGGCGTCAGAGGCAGAACTGGCTGAGCCACCTGCCCTCGGCGCCAGGCAGGCCACGCCCACCAGCCACAGCTGCAGCACCCGCCCACCCACGTGGCCCGTGTGAGTCACCCCCACACCCACACAGCAGCCTCATCCCCACCGGAGAAAAGGCAGGGGAGGCCGCAGGTGCCAAGATCGAAGTTGTGGGTCCAACTCCTCCCTCTCTGGCATTCCATGCTGGGCAGGGACTGCCCATCTCAGGCCTATTTTTCCAACTAGGAAATGGGAATGATAACATCTACTTTCCAAGGGAGCCGTGAAGAGCCAAAGAGATCACAGAGGTGGGAGGGCCTAGTGAAGAGTCAAGCGCTCTGCTCTGTCCCCTGGGAGGGAAGACCGCAGCCCAGGCCTAGCCTGGTTGACCTCAGGGTGGCCAGCCCCAAGACTCGGCACTTGTTCTCAAAAGTCGGTTCCTGGGATCAGGTCTCTCGGGGACGGAAGTCCCCATTTAATGCTGTCCACCAGCAGTCACGCATCATGGCCCTTAGTGTCAGCCTCACCCCTTCCTGGCTGAATGACCTTAGCAGGTCATTTCTCCGAGCCTCAGTCTCCTCATCTGTGAAACGTGCTTCATAAACCCACTTTGCAAGGTTATCGTGGGGCTTCAACAAGTACAAGTAGAAAGGGCCAGAACAAGGCCCAGGGCACGGCAAGAACTCAATAAACAATGTCAGCTCTTAGCTATGATTGCTTTTGTCATCTCAATGTATTCTCCCAGCAACTGCCCAGGTTGCCCTTCTCCAAGGCCAGGGCGTCATAGAAGGAATCGGTGCCCTCTCTCCTGGCCCAGGCTGCAGCTGTGAAGTGGGTGGAGTGAGTCAGGATGGCCGTGTGTGTCTCGCGTCACTCAGGAACTGCACACCTGCTCCCCGGGGCGAGATGTGGACAAGACACAGCTGGGACAGAGCAGGAAGTCTCTGCTGACGCGGCCGCAGCTGGCGCCTGATGGGCAGGGAAATCCCCAGCTGTGAGCCTCTCAATCCCTCATCATCACAACCTGCCTGGCCTGGGGAGGAGGCAGGAGGCAGGTGAGGCTTCTAGGCCACGGGAGAGCAGGACCTATGGCCGGTAAGGGGCAGACCAGACTTGAGGGTGTGGGTGAAGCAGGAGACCGCTTCTGCCGTTGAAGTCAGGGGGTCCTGAAGTTCCCACTCACAATCTGAAATCTCATGACTGTGCCTGAAACTCGACCGGAAAAGCCCGATCTGGGGTTGAGCACGGCCTCCGGCCACTAGCTTACTCACCCTCTCCCGACCCAGCCCCGCGCCCTCCCTGTTTGCCTCTGGCGGCTCAGACGCCTGGGGAGGAAGCTGCTGCCAAATGTCAGTGCTTCCATTTTGCTCGTGTTCATAACTTTTCTCAGAGGGCAGGTGGGAGCTGGTGAAAAAGGCCCCTGTCTCCCACCCAGAGGTGTGCCCTGTGCCCAGCAAGGAAGAAGGGGACCCCCGCTCTGCTATGAGAGGCAGCAGGAGCCAGGTCACCCAGTGGAGTCACAGTCACTACTTAGGAAGCCCGAGCCCATCCTAATCCCACCCCAAACACACAGAAGCAGCAGCTTCAGCCCCTTAGATGGTCTATATTCAACCCCATTTAACCCAGCACATGGTGAGAGCCCACGGGAGAGGCCGTGGCAAGGGCGCAGGTGGACAACGAGGGATTCAGAACTGGAGAAGGCCGTGTCCACCCTCGTGGGCCACAGGGGACACAGGCTCAGGCAGGAACCATGACCCACCATGTGGGTCATCAGGACAAAATGGGCTGAGACCCCCAAGGCGGGAGGAAGTCCCTGTGATGGGGTGTAGGGGATGAGTTCGGGAAAGAGGGAGCATCTGCCTGGACTTGGAAGGAGGGAAGAGGCCACAACATGGTGAAACCCCGTCTCTACTAAAAATACAAAATTAGCGGGGTGAGGTGCTGCACACTGTAGTCCCAGCTATTCGGGAGGCTGAGGCAGGAGAATTGCTTGAACCTAGGAGGCAGAGGTTGCAGTGAGCCGAGACTGCACCACTGTACAGCCTGGGCAACAGAGCGAGACTCCGTTTCCAAAAAAAAAAAAAAAAAAGAAAGAAAGAAAAAAGAAAAAGAATGGAAAAGTGAAAAGGAATATGATCAGAACAAAAATATAACATGCTATAGTGTAAATGCATACAACACATTGGTCAATGCTATTAAGTTTAAATTAAACACACACACACACACAGAGAGAAACAGAAAAAAAGATAAAAGATAAAATGACCACTTCATACTCTTTAGAATGGCCCAAATCCAAAATGTTGACAGCACCAGCAAATGCTGGTGAGGACATGGAGCAACAGGAACTCTCGGCCATCACTGGTGGGAATGTAAAACGGTGCAGCCACTTTGAAAGACACTTTGGTGGTTTCTTACAAAACTAAACATACTCTTACCATTCAATCCAGCAATCACACTCTTTGGTGTTTATTCAAAGAAGCTGAAAACTTATGCCCACACAAAAATTGCCCATAGATATTTATAGCAACTTTACTTATAATTGCCAAAACTTGGAAGCAACCAAAATGTCCTTCAGTAGGTGAATGGATAAAGAGTGGTACATCCGGCCAGGCGTGGTGGCTCACGCCTGTAATCCCAGCACTTTGGGAGGCGAAGGCAGGTGGATTGCTTGAGGCCAGCAGTTCAAGACCTGGCCTGGGCAACATGACGAAACCCCATCTCTACAAAAAATACAAAAAAATTTGCTGGGCATGGTGGTGGGTGCCTGTAGTCCCAGCTACTCGGGAGGCTGAGGCAGGAGAATGGCGTGAACCTGGGAGGCGGAGCTTGCAGTGAGCCGAGGTTGTACCGCTGCACTCCAGGCTGGGCGACAGAGCAAGACTCCGTCTCAAAAAAAAAAAAAAAAAAAAAAAAAAAAAAGAGTGCTACATCCAAGAGAATGGAATGTTATCCTCCAATAAAAGAAATGAGCTCTCATGCCACGAAAAGACCTGGAGGAAACTCTAATGCATAATACTAAGTACAATAAATCAATCTGAAAAGGCTATGTATTGTATTGATGATGCCAACTACATGACATGCTGGAAAAGGCAGTAAAAGATCAGTGGCTGGCCAGGCACGGTGGCTCACATCTGTAATCCCAGTATTTGAGGAGGCCAAGGCAGGTGGATTGCTTGAGGCCAGGAGCTCAAGACCTGGCCTGGGCAACATGACGAAACCCCATCCCTACAAAAAATACAAAAATGAGCCAGGCGTGGTGGCTCTCACCTATAGTCGCAGCTACTCAGGAGGCTGAGGTGGGAGGATCTTTGAGCCCAGGAGGTCGAGGCTGCAGTGAGCCGTGATTGCACCACTGCACTTCAGCCTGGGCGACAGAGCAAAACTCCGTCTCAGAAAAAAAAAAAAAAAAAAAGGGTCAGTGTTGGCCGGGCGCGGTGGCTCACGCCTGTAATCTCAGCACGTTGGGAGGCCGAGGCGGGCGGACCGCGAGGTCAGGAGATCGAGACCATCCTGGCTAACACAGTGAAACCCCGTCTCTACTAAAAATACAAAAAATTAGCCAGGCGTGGTGGCGGGTGCCTGTAGTCCCAGCTACTCGGGAGGCTGAGGCAGGAGAATGGCATGAACCTGGGAGATGGAGCTTGCAGTGAGCCAAGATCACACCACTGCACTCCAGCCTGGGTGACAGAGCGAGACTCCGTCGCAAAAAAAAAAAAAGGTCGGTGTTGCCAGGAGCTGGAGAGAGGGACGGATTAATAGGTGGAGGATGGAGGATTTTTAGGCAATAAAATTCCTCTGTGTGATACTATAATGATAAACGCAGGTCATACATTTGTCAAAACCCATGGAATCTATAACCCCAAGAGTGACCCCAGTGGACTTTGTTTTTTGTATTTTGGTTTCTTTTTTTTTTTTTTTTGAGACGGAGTCACTCTGTCGCCCTGACTGGAGTAAAGTGACATGACCTCGGCTCACCACAACCTCTGCCTCCCGGGTTCAAGTGATTCTCCTGCCTCAGCCTCCCGAGTAGCTGGGGTGACAGACGTGCGTCACCACACCTGGCTAATTTTTGTATTTTTAGTAGAGACGGGGTTTCACCGTGTTAGCCAGGCTGGTCTCAAACTCCTGACCTCAGGTGATCCGCCCGCCTCAGCCTCCCAAAGTACTGGGATTACAGGCATGAGCTGGACTTTGGATGATAATGATGTATCAATGTCAACTCACTGATTGTAACAATGTACCACTCTGGGGCAGGATGGCAGTAGCTGGGGAGGTTGTGGGCACAGCAGGTGTATGAGAACTTCCTATATATTTTTTGTGTCAATTTTGCTGTGAACCTAAAGTTGCTCGAAAAATAAAGCTGGCCAAGCCCTGTGGCTGGCACCGCAATGCCAGTACTTTGTGGGGCCAAGGCGGGAGGACTGCTTGAGGCCAGGAGTTCAAGACCAGCCTGAGCAACATAGCAAGACCACATCTCTGCACGGGGAAAAAAAAATTGCCAGGCGTGGTGGCTCACGCTTGTAGACCCAGCTACTCAGGAGGCTAAGGCAGGAGGATCGCTCGAGCTCAAGAGTTTGAGGCTGCATTGAGCCATGACCACACCACTGTGCTCCCACCTGGGCAAGAGAGCAAGACCCTGTCTCAAAAAAATAAAATTAAAATAAAGCTTATTAATTTTTTAAAAAAGAAAGACATATGAATTGCAGGTATATCCTTCCTTAAACAATCTCAGGTTTCCAATCTAATAACAAAAAATTTCTATCATTAGTTTTGCAAAAGTACAACCACAGGATCCCTTCCAGCTCTGAGTAAATTTGAAAGCTGATCCAGGCTGGGCACGGTGGCTCACACCTGTAATCCCAGTACTTTGGGAAACCAAGGCAGCTGGATCACTTGAGGTCAGGAGTTCAAGACCAGCCCCGCCAACATGGTGAAACCCCATTTCTACTAAAACTACAAAAATTAGCCAGGCGTGGTGGCAGGCACCTGTCATCCAGCTACTAAAGAGGCTGAGGCAGGGGAATCCCTTGAACCCAGAAGGCAGAGGTTGCAGTGAGCTGAGATCATGCCACTGCACTCCAGCCTGGGTGACAGAGCAAGACTCTGTCTCAAAAAACAAAACAAAACAAAAAGCTGATCCAATTTGCAGAAGTTTGCAGCTGTCTGACACCCACACATTTTCTAAGAAAGGCCTACAGGTAAAGCATGGAGCCCCAGGCCCACAGCAGGAAGCGAGAAGCCCTCCCACCTCCCTCTGGCCCAGGATAGGCTGGCATGCCCCAGCACATTCTCTGCCAGGCAGCCTGACACAGCAGTTAAGAGCCAGGCTTTGGAGTCAGACTGCCTGGGGTCAAACCTAGGCAACGTGTTTACTGGCTGTGCAACCTTACTCACTGTTGGAACCTTGATTTTCTCATCTATAAAAGGGAACTAATAATAGCTTCTTCACGAGCTGTTAGGAGACTTAAAGGGAGATGCACATGGAGCACCTTCATAAACACTCCCCACATCCCGGCTGTCGGCCTCCCTCCTCCAGGCTCCAGGCTCACTTGCCATAGTCACATGCAGGCAACTGGGGCTCCTCCGTGGCGCCTCCTATGTGGAGGCAGACATGATGCTAGAGAACAGGGAGGAGGGATCCCAGTATTTTCTCCCAAAACACCTCTCCTGGTAGGGCCCAAGCCTCAGCCTCAGCCAAAGTTCATCCTTTCATGAACCAACATCCAATAATTCCACAACTGAACAACTCATTCTACACTCCGCAGATACTAACACAACCTGCCCAGTCTGGAACAGATCTCTCTTTCAGAGTATCTGTTTCTTTTTTTTTTTTCACAATGTGTTTATTTTTTATCTTTTTTTTTTTAATTTATTTTTTTATTGATCATTCTTGGGTGTTTCTCACAGAGGGGGATTTGGCAGGGTCATAGGACGATAGTGGAGGGAAGGTCAGCAGATAAACAAGTGAACAAAGGTCTCTGGTTTTCCTAGGCAGAGGACCCTGCGGCCTTCCGCAGTGTTTGTGTCTCTGGGTACTTGAGATTAGGGAGTGGTGATGACTCTTAACGAGCATGCTGCCTTCAAGCATCTGTTTAACAAAGCACATCTTGCACCGCCCTTAATCCATTTAACCCTGAGTGGACACAGCACATGTTTCAGAGAGCACAGGGTTGGGGGTAAGGTCACAGATCAACAGGATCCCAAGGCAGAAGAATTTTTCTTAGTACAGAACAAAATGAAGTCTCCCATGTCTACTTCTTTCTACGCAGACACGGCAACCATCCGATTTCTCAATCTTTTCCCCACCTTTCCCCCTTTTCTATTCCACAAAACCGCCATTGTCATCATGGCCCGTTCTCAATGAGCTGTTGGGCACACCTCCCAGACGGGGTGGTGGCCGGGCAGAGGGGCTCCTCACTTCCCAGTAGGGGCGGCCAGGCAGAGGCGCCCCTCACCTCCCGGACGGGGCGGCTGGCCTGGCGGTGGGTGACCCCCACCTCCTTCCTGGACGGGGTGGCTGCCGGGCGGAGACGCTCCTCACTTCCCAGTAGGGGCAGCTGCCGGGTGGAGGGGCTCCTCACTTCTCAGACGGGGCGGCTGGGCAGAGACGCTCCTCACCTCCCAGACGGGGTCGTGGCCGGGCAGAGGCGCTCCTCACATCCCAGATGGGGCGGCGGGGCAGAGGCGCTCCCCACATCTCAGACGATGGGCGGCCGGGCGGAGACAGTCCTCACTTTCCAGACGGGGCAGCCAGGCAGAGGGGCTCCTCACATCCCAGACGATGGGCGGCCAGGCAGAGGCTGCAAGCTTTGCACTTTGGGAGGCCAAGGCAGGCGGCTGGGAGGTGGAGGTTGTAGTGAGCCGAGATCACGCCACTGCACTCCAGCCTGGGCACCATTGAGCACTGAGTGAACCAGACACCGTCTGCAATCCCGGCACCTCGGGAGGCCGAGGCTGGCGGATCACTCGCGGTTAGGAGCTGGAGACCAGCCCGGCCAACACAGCGAAACCCGTCTCCACCAAAAAAATACGAAAACCAGTCAGGCGTGGCGGCGCGCGCCTGCAATCGCAGGCACTGGGCAGGCTGAGGCAGGAGAATCAGGCAGGGAGGTTGCAGTGAGCCGAGATGGCAGCAGTACAGTCCAGCTTCGGCTCGGCATGAGAGGGAGACCGTGGAAAGAGAGGGAGAGGGAGACCATCGGGAGAGGGAGACCATGGGGAGAGGGAGAGGGAGAGGGAGAGGGAGAGGGAGAGGGAGAGCAGAGTAGAGTATCTGTTTCTTAAGCTCTATTCTACAAAGGAAGAGTCAGCAAACTCTTCTGTAAAGGGCCAGATAGTATGTTTTTTATATTTTAGGTAAGCTTTTTATATTTTAGGTAAGCTTATATTTTAGGCTTTGCAAACTATTTGGTCTCTGTTGCAACTATTCCCTTCTGCATTATAGCAGGAATGCAACCATAGGAATGTACACACACGTACACACACACACACACAAACATGCATGCATGCACACACCCACACACACACCCCCATGTGTATACACACGCATCCACAAGCAGCCTACACAGAGCCAATTAGCTATGCCAGCCCATTTCCTGCCACAAACTTTACACTTGACACGATATATATGTATACATATCTGTTTATTTGAGGATGCCAGTATGGATGGAGTGGAAGCATGTGCCATTGCGGAGAAGCAGGACTGGGGTTCCTAGAAATGGAAGATCTTTCAAACATTCTTACCAGGTACCTTTGGGATGTGGTTCTGTAGTTTTAACCTGCACAGCAATTGAGCTGATCTTCTGGAGACTGTGATTGATCGTAAGGAAGGATGAAGAAGGCACTGCTGCAACAGCTTGATTCTGCCAGAGCTGGGAGTGGGACAGCCTCCCCCATCTTCTCCAGGGAGGAAACACCAACACCCCCAAACCACCCGGGCAGGTAAGAGGAGCAAGCACGGCACAGAGAGGAAGGGCCTCTGCATTTTCCATCAAAGGAAGAGTTTGTTCCCAAAGGTGTTTTCCTGGGCTTCATTTACTTTTGCTCCTAATAATATAAAATCAAAGAAGGCCGAGCGCAGCGGCTCACACCTGTAATCCCAGCACTTTGGGAGGCCAAGGCGGGCAGATCACCTGAGGTCAAGAGTTCGAGACCAGCCTGGCCAACATGGTGAAACCCCGTCTCTATTAAAAATACAAAAATTAGCCGGGCGTGGTAGTGCTCACCTGTAATCCAAGCTACTTGGGAGACTGAAGCAGAAGAATCGCTTGAACCCGGGAGGCAGAAGTTGCAGTGAGCCAAGATCACACCACTGCACTCCAGCCTGGGCAACAAGAGTGAAACTCTGTCTCACAGAAAAAAAAAAAAAGAATAAAATCAAAGAAAACAGCCAGGTGTGGAGGCTCACACCTGTAATCCCAGCACTTTGGGAGGCCGAGGTGGGCGGATCACCTGAGGTCAGGAGTTCGAGACCAGCCTGGCCAACATGGCGAAACCCCATATCTATTAAAAAAATACAAAAAATTAGCCAGACATGGTGGCACGTGCCTGTAATCCCAGCTACTTGGGAAGCCGAGGCAGGAGAATTGCTGGAATCCAGGAGGCGGAGGTTGCAGGGAGCCAAAATTGTGCCACTGCATTCCAGCCTGGGTGAGAAGAGTGAAATTCTGTCTCAAAAAAAAGAATAAAATCAAAGAAAACAAGGGCCTAACATGTCCCAGTAGAGACTGACCATCCAAACTGTTTAGTAAAGTGAGTAAAAACCTGAAAGTCTGTTAGGAGATTCACTTGGGGACAGTGACGGTTGGATGTACATCACTCCCCATGCTTCCAAGAACGCTTCCCACAGCTTGTCCAGCACAGATTTGGGAACATGCTGGGCAGGCACAGACCAGGCCAGGCTGCTGACAGAGCACTGGTGTTCCCTCAGCAGCCCCCCGTGGCAACGGGGTCTCCTAAGGCCCAGTGTTGACAGTGCTGTCTGCGTGACGTCCTCACTTCTCCCCGGAAGCGGCAGGACTCTTGAAGACCTCAGCGTCCTCTGGCTTCAGAGACCCTGAAAACTGTCGCAGATAAACTTCCTCGGGCTGAGCAGACTGCCTATCTCGAGCACTTGCCTCTCTTAAAAGGGGGACCAGGGCAAAGTTCTTCCAGTGTCTGCCTGAAACTGAAGGGTAACACTATTACTACCTTGGATGCAACAAAACAAACATTCACTTCTTGGCCTCCCAAGTCTCCAGATAAAAGGAGGTCCAAGACAGGCACGATGGCTCATGCCTGTAATCCCAGCACTTTGGGAGGCCGAGGCAGGTGGATCACCTGAGGTCAGGAGTTCAAGACCAGCCCGGACAACATGGTGAAACCCCATCTCTACTAAAAATACAAAAAAAAAAAAAAAAATTGGCCGGGCATAGTGGCACATGCCTGTAACCCCAGTACTTGGGAGGCTGAGGCAGGAGAATCACTTGAACCTGGGAGGCACAGGCTGCAGTGAGCCGAGATCGTGCCACTGCACTCCAGCCTGGGCGAAAAGAGCAAAACTCCGTCTCAAAAAAAAAAAAAAAAAAAAAAGAAGAAGAAGAAGAAAGAAAGAAAGAAAAAACGAGGCCCAGGCATGCGAGTGCTTCCTGAGGCACCTGGATCGGTGCAATGTCCTCCTCCCTCAACTACTCAAAGAGCCTCATGCACTCTCGCTGTTCCTTAAATTCTCTTCCTCCATCCCACCCCGACTTGCTTGCAGCCTCAGGAGAGCCCATCGCCTGCCCCTCTCGGCCTCCATCTCCTCCCTGCCCCAGCGGGAGGGAGAGAGGGTCTCCACAGAGCAACGCCGAGGCCTGTCCTGTGAGTGGCTCAACACCAGGGCAGCTCTGGGTGACGAGCACCAGCCAAAGAGGCAGGATCTGGGGTCCAGGCCCACTGGGTGACAGCCTGGGCGACAGAACAAGATTCTGTCTCAAAAAAAAAAAAAAGAAAAAAATTATAAAGGTGACATCAGGCAACCTCCAACCATCCCCCATCCCTGCCCCAGTTAACATGGGTGTGTATACCCCTGCCACTGGGTCAATGTCTTTATAAATATCACAGTGAATGTGCAGTGTTGTAAACCGCCAACACTGTCATGCAAACATAATACAAATCAACTGCCAAGTGAAATAGCAAATCTTGTCAAAGATGTAGGATGTCACTAAATCAACAAGAGTGACATTGAAAAACTACTCAAGGCCGGGCGCGGTGGCTCACGCCTGTAATCCCAGCACTGTGGGAGGCCGAGGCGGGCGGATCACGAGGTCAGGAGATCGAGACCATCCTGGCTAACATGGTGAAACCCCGTCTCTACTAAAAATACAAAAAATTAGCCGGGCGTAGTGGCGGGCGCCTGTAGTCCCAGCTACTCGGGAGGCTGAAGCAGGAGAATGGCGTGAACCCGGGAGGTGGAGCTTGCAGTGAGCCAAGATTGCGCCACTGCACTCCAGCCTGGGTGACAGAGCCAGACTCCGTCTCAAAAAAAAAAAAAAAAGAAAAGAAAAGAAAAACTACTCAAATCACACGCAAAGCTATCTTTCAATAGCTCTCTGGCAAAGTTAGACCAGTTAACAACTGACAAAGAGATCATCAATAAGCATTATTACAGGATGCAGGGATTGCTTCCAACTAAACTCACAGGAAAATCACACGATCGCAGGAGGCCTGTGGAAAAACCAATGGAACCCTCGAGCAGTTTTCTAAAAATGAGCCTTTGATAAAATAGATTTTCGCTTCCAGCTATAATGGAGTATCTAGTACTGGGCTAGCCATCGTGCTGTCAACGATCACAAAATAGGCAACATACAGGCAGCAAACGTTTTTCAGAGATAGGACATCAGGCAGTGAAAAACGGCAGTCCCTCAAATAACACCAACTTAGCAGCTAAAGATTTTTTAAAATTAAACATTAAAAAAAGGCAAGGCACGGTGGCTCGCACCTGTCATCCCAACACTTTGGGAGACCAAGGTGCGCAGATCACCTGAGATCAGGAGTTCGAGACCAGCCTGGCCAACACGGTGAAGCCCTGTCTCTACTAAAAATACAAAAATTAGCCAGGTGTACACATATACACCGTGGAATACTATGCAGCCATAACAAAATGATGAGTTCATGTCCTTTGTAGGGACATGGGTGAAGCTGGAAACCATCATTCTCAGCAAACTATTGCAAGGACAAAAAACGAAACACCACATGTTCTCACTCATAGGTGGGAATTGAACAATGAGAACACTCAGACACAGGAAGGGGGACATCACACACCGGGGCCTGTTGTGGGGTTGGGGGAGTGGGGAGGGACAGCATTAGAAGATATACCTAATGTAAATGACGAGTTAATGGGTGCAGCACACCAACATGGCACATGTATACATATGTAACAAACCTGCACGTTGTGCACATGTACCCTAGAACTTAAAGTATAATAAAAAAAAAAATTAGCCGGGTATAGTGGCAGGCGCCTGTAGTCCCAGGTACTCAGGAGGCTGAGGTGGGAGGATCACTTGAACCCAGAAGGCGGAGGTTGCAGTGAGCCAAGATCGTGCCACTGCACTCCAGCCTGGGCAACACAGCAAGACTCCATCTCAAAAATAAAATAAAATAAATAAAAACTGCAATTCCCAAGAGAAGTGAAATTCACAAGGGGAGCCCTGTGATCTCCCTAACTTTCTGCCTAGGGACATTTCCCCAACTACAACGCGGTGAGCTGCAGTCTAAGAAGAGCATGGAATTGCCTTTGAGTTAAAGAAGAAGAAATCAAAAGCTGGGCAGCGGAAGCAGCTAGAATCTGTGGATCAGAGCACAGGGGAAGAGGAGGAAGGATTCATGGGGGTGGAAGCCCAGAAGTCTTTGGGGCAGATGAGTTCCCCACAGGTCCTTGCTAAGAGCTGAGCTGTGCTAGCTCATGGTGTGACTGCATGAGGGTGATCAGAGAGTGGCTCAGAGTATTTAAAGGGTGTTAAGAAGGTCTCTGGGCCTCTGAGGCCCCCAGTACTACTCAACCTTTAACGTCTCTGTCCCACTTTCATAAAGATAGAAAACAGAATAGGGGCCAAGGGGTTAGGGGCCAGGGGCCAAGTGGTCAGGGAGGAGGGGCCAAGGGGTCAGGGAGGAGGGGCCAAGGGGTCAGGGAGGAGGGGCCAAGCGGTCAGGGAGGAGGGGCCAAGCGGTCAGGGAGGAGGGGCCAAGCGGTCAGGAAGGAGGGGTCATGGAGTTGTTTTAAGGGCACAGAGTTTCCGTGTGGGATGATTAAAATGTTCTGGAAAAAGGCCCGGCATGGTGGCTCACACCTGTCATCCCAGCACTTTGGGATGACCTGAGGTCAGGAGACCAACCTGGCCAACATGGTGAAAACCCGTTTCTACTATAAAAATACAAAAATGAGCCGGGCGTGGTGGCAGGCACCTGTAATCCCAGCTACTCGGGAGACTGAGGCAGGAGAATCGCTTGAACCCGGGAGGCGGAGGGTGCAGTAAACCCAGATCACGCCACTGCACTCCAGCCTGGGCAACAGAGTGAGACTCCATCTCAGGAAAAAAAAAAAAAAAAGTTCTGGAAATAGATAGTGGTGAGTGTTGTACAATAATGTAAATGTACTTAATGACACTAAACTGTACACTTCAAAAGGATTTAAATGGCAAGTTTTAGGAGATAGATATTTTACCACAATTTTTTACAATTAAATACAAAGTAATTCAAAAACAAAGTGTTCAGGGTTGTAATTATAACTCAAAATTTGTCCACTATAAACTATGCCTCTTTCATTTCTAGGTAAACGTCCTCAATTAGACATTTATTTAATGTTTTCTATTAAATGTTTACCAGTAACTGTTAAACAGCTTTCTTTCTGGTAGTAATTTTTCTCAGGGTTTTTCTATTTGTTCTTTTTTTTGAGACAGAGTCTCGTTCTGTTGCCCCGGCTGGAGTGTAGTGGTGCGATCTCGGCTCACTGCAACCTCCGCCTCCCAGGTTCAACCGATTCTCCTGCTTCAGCCTCCCGAGTAGCTGGGATTACAGGTGCCTGCCACCATGCCTGGCTAATTTTTGTATTTTTTTTAGTAGAGATGGGGTTTCACGATGTTGGCCAAGCTGGTCTCAAACTCCCGGCCTCAGGTGATCCACCCGTCTCAGCCTCCCAAAGTGCTGGGATGACAGGCGTGAGCCACTGTGCCCGGCCTCCTTGGGGTTTTTCTGCTCAAGGCATCCCCTTTCTTCTTCTCACCCTCCCCTCTTCTCCACCTGCCCAGATGTGTCCATGAGTGACAAGTGTTCCCGTCTGCCTGTTTGTGTCCGCACAGCCTCTCAGAGCTAGGACGTCGCATGCACACGTGCAGAGTGAGGAACAGGGCTGAGGAGGCAGGGCAGCCCATACAAGGAGGCAGGGCGGGGCTGGGCTGCGTCCCCTGGGGCGCTGAGGACAGGTGCCTGGGCTGGAGGTGCTGGCACAGCCGCCTGCACGGGCCCAGTGAGCCGTCAGCCATCAGCCGTCAGCCGTGACAGCATGAGTGAGGTGCTCAAGTCAGCCCGTGACTATGTGCTCATGGCCGACGTCAGGAGCTGCCACAGCGCCCGGGTCCTGGGGGGATGAGGAACCCGGCAAGGCGTGGGGAACCTGCAAAGCTCCCCCTGCCCAACATCAGGCCACCAGCCAAGGAGGCGCCAAGCACCGGCCCTCACGCCTCACCTCTGCTTGACCGCAGGGAGAAGCTCAGGGTGCGCTTGACGCCCTCACAGTTGCCCGGGTCTTCGTTGATGATGCCCACGTTGGTGTTCCAGGTGGTCCAGTTCACCTCGTCCACCCTGCAGGGTAAGGGGTCGGGAGAGCCTGAGAGCTGTGCCCAGCTTCCCGGGCCAAGGGCTCTGCCCACAGGCCAAGCCCAAGAAACCCACCCATCAGGATGGAGATGTGGTGGGTCGGGGAGGGCAGAGAGGACTTGATTTTTGGACACCATCCTCAAAGATGTGATCTCTGAGCACACTGTGAGGCCCAGGGGGACTTCACATATTGGATGCCAGGCTCTGACGCTGCTCACTAGACGGCCCCTTCTGGACACCTCGAATTTTCCAGAATTTAGTGTCTGGGCCCCACCAGATGAGATCTAAGATGGTCCCCTGTGCACGCCCACAGCTGAGCTCAGGACGGCCCCAATCCCTACAGCTGGCATTGGGAGAGCCCCCTGTGCTCATGACCAGCCCCTCATGGAGGCCCTGAGGCAGGCTCTGTGTCCACAGGTGAGCCCCAAAGCTCCCAAGCCCTGATTCAGGTGGAGCCTGGGCATTACCTGAAGCACCACCGGTAGTCGTCCTTGCCATCAGGTGTGTACCCCACCTGCAGCAGCTTGCCTGAGCGGAAGGCCTTCCTCATGCACTTAAGGAAGCTCTTCTCCGTGTCCAGGATGGTGATGGCTCTCTGCAGGAAGACACCAAGGGCAGAGGAGCTGAGGGGCAGAGGGTGCATCCCGGGGCCACCCTGGCTGCCAGTATCCAGCTCCCCAGGGGCTCTCCCAGGCCTAGATGCCTCCAGGGTGGTTGTCCAGTGCCCTCCACGCTAGCTTTGTTTCTGTAGCCTGGCGGGGGTACACTGTATACAAGGGGCACAGCCCAGCCAGCCCAGACCTGTCCAGGTGCCACTGGTGCCTGCCGGGCCTGGGCAGGGCAGCCCCGGGAGTGATACGGAGGCCCCAGACCCTGCCCTGAGGAGCTCACAAGGGGCAACATAGGGTAGGGCTGAGAGCAGGGCCACGAGTGAGACTGCCTGGGCCAGGTCCTGGCTCTGCCACTTACCAGCCATGTGGCCTTGAGCACAGATACCTAACTTCACTACGCCTCAGTGCCTCATTCATTCAAAAACGGAACAGTATAGCCAGGCACAGTGGCTCACGCCTGTGATCCCAGCACTTTGGGAGGCCAAGGCAGGCAGATCACCTGAGGTCAGGAGTTCAAAACCAGCCTGGCCAACATGGTGAAACCCCATCTCTACTAAAAATACAAAAATTAGCTGGGTGTGGTGGTGGGTGCCTGCAATCCCAGCTACTAGGGAGGCTGAGGCAGAAGAACCGCTTGAAGTCGGGAGGCAGAGGTTGCAGTCAGCCAAGATCATGCCAATGCACTCCAGCCTGGGTGACAGAGTAAGACTCCATCTCAGAAAAAAAAAAAAAAAAAAAAAAAAAGGAACAGTAATAGAATCCACTTCACAGGACTGTTGTGAGGATTAAATGAGATCAGGTGAGACAGACACTTAGTACAGTCCCTATCACAGAGAAAGTGCTTCTTCATAAGAACGAAACTTATTATTAGTAGTTGGGGATGCAGATGTGGCCCACGGGGCCAGAAATGTAGCTGTCAGGGCCCTGCCTCATGGTAGCTGCTCCCCTGAGTCTGGCCTCTGGTGCCCACCTTACACCAGGCTCCTCTGAGGTGGACACCCTGTCGGGCTGAGCCCTCCCCCTTCTTCCCTCCAGGACCACCCAGACCACAGCCAAGCACGGTGTCTATAAACACCAGCTGAGCTCATCTGCCCCTGAGCAGGTGCTGGGCAGGGGAACTTGCTGGAAGTCCACTGAGGGAGGTGCTGAGGCTGGATCCCCGGGCCTGGCCGGGCTTTCTGCTCCCTCCTCAAATCCTGCAGGGCTCATGTGCCCAGCTGGGTAAGGCAGCGGATAGAGAGGCCCATACCCTCCTGGCCACACACCGCCCCCACCACCCACCCACCTGCAGCCAGCTGTGTAAGACAGCAGACAGAGCCGCCCACACTCTCCGCGCCACTCACCACCCCCCAACTCCACCCACCCACCTGCAGCTTCCAGATGTTCTTGCTCTCCTGTGCGATCTTGTTGACAGTCTCACCCATGAGGGCGATGAGCATGTTGAGCAGGAGGATGTAGGTGAGAATTACATAGGCCAGCAGCAGGATGATGAAGACAGCCTTGAAGTCATAGTTCTCAGTGAACTCCAGGTCGCCCATGCCGATGGTGAACTTGAACAGCTCCAGGCAGGTGGAGTACAGGCTGTTGTAGGAGCTATCGGGGGGCCTGCAGGCAGGCCCCCGCCACCTGTGCGACGTGGACTCAGACGGCAGGGAGTCATTCTTCCCGTCTTCAATCAGCGTCACCACCGCTACAGGGCACAGGGAGGGCGGGGTGCCACTGGATAGAAGCCAATATCCCAAGTCCCCTGACATACACCCTCCTGCTCAGTCAGTCTCAAATAACTTTGTGACAAGTTATTTTTAAAGCATCCCTTCTTTAAAACTATCAAAAAAATTTTCATAGTATATTTTTAAGAACTTTATCATCATCTGCTAGAAAAATAAATAAATATATAAGTCTCTATGTGCAATGTGAATACAGCCACCTTTGTACAGTGCACAACCTGCTTAACCATACGTGTCAGCTCTGGCCCCACACCTGCTTTGTCCATCACACCCTGTTGGCCTGCATCCCTCAGAGGTCCATTTTGCTCCATGAGCACTGAGCCGCTCAGAGCAGAATGACCTCTCCCCACATGCTGCCTGCTTCTGTGGGAAGTGTGGCCCAGAGCCTGAGAGCCTCTGCAGCAGCTGTGCATCGTGGTTGCTGCCTATCAGTATCCACAAACCCCCCCGGCCTAGTCCCTTCCTGTACCTACTGAAATGCAGGGCCTTCAGATCCAGGTGCCAGAGCCCACACCTATTAGGTCTCTCTTAGTCACAGGTGCCCATCCCTCCCAGCCAGGGATTCCAACGCAAACGGCAGGGTGGGGACAGGGAGGGTGCACCATGTGAACCACGTAACTGTGGGACTCGGATGAGCATCAAAGCAGAGTCCAGTGCTCAAAAAATGATGTGGAGGCCGGGCATGGTGGCTCACGCCTGTAATCCCAGCACTTTGGGAGGCTGAGGCAGGCGGATCACCTGAGGTCAGGAGTTTGAGACCAGCCTGGCCAACAGGGTGAAACCCGTCTCTACTAAAAATAGCCAGGTTGGGATTATCCTAGCTACTTGGGAGGCTGAGGCAGGAGAATTGCTTGAACCTGGGAGGCAGAGTTTGCAGATCGCGCCACTGCACTCCAGCCTGGGCGACAGAACGAGACTCTATCTCAAAAAAAAAAAAAAAAAAAAAAGATGTGGACATGTGAAAAGAGCACAGGAGCCAGCTGGAAGGGACTCCAGTGACTAATCTCAGACAATTTGAGTATTAAAATAAAAGAGGATAGTAAGGATTATAACCCATTTAACAAAGTGAGAATCCATGAAAACAAAAGACTCCATGAGGCCATTCTGATACAAACAAATACATAGAAATGGGGAATGGTTAGCTCTTCTCTATAACAGAATGCCAGGTAATAAATGCAGAAGCAATGATGGAGTTAGAAGATCATCTTCTCTGGGTGTGGTGGCTCATGCCTGTAATCCCAGCACTTCGGGAGGCCAAGGCAGGCGGATCACCTGAGGTCAGGAGTTTGAGACCAGCCTGAGTAACATGGTAAAACCCCATCTGTACTAAAAATATAAAAATTAGCCGGGCGTGATGATGGGCAGCTGTGATCCCAGCTACCTGGAAGGCTGAGGCAGGAGAATTGCTTGAACCTGGGAGGCCGAGGTTGCAGTGAGCAGAGATGGCACCACTGCATGCCAGCCTGGGCGACAGACAGAGACTCCTTCTCAAGAAAAAAAAAAAAAATCATCATTTGGCCACCATCACAGGATGAAGTGATTCAGGTAAGACTCATCAACGGATGCTAGAACTCCTGGTGAAAGTCTGATGAGAAACAGGCTAGTCACATAGTTTCAAAGCATCTCCTTGAAAAGTATCCATCACAAAGGTAAATATAGTAGCTTTACAGTGGAAAAGTCTGGCAGATCCACCAAAACCAAGTCATCAAAGCTAACGTCACCAGAAGTGAGACGGACATCATGTGACTCCCAATAAAACACACAGCAGAAGACACACATGGCTTCTTGATATTCTGGCCAAAAATGCATGCCTGGCTATAATCGTGAGGAAACATCAGACACACCCAAATTGAGAAACATTGTCAAAACCACTGGCCTCTACTCATTACAAATTCTGAGGTCGCAAATGACAAGGAATGATGCAGGAAGTGCCCTGGATTAAAGAAGACTAAGGTCAGGCGCGGTGGCTCACCCTGTCATCCTAGCACTTTGGGAGCCGAGGCGGGCAGATCACTTGAGGTCAGGAGCTCAAGACCAACATGACAAAACCCCGTCTCTACTAAAAATACAAAAAAAAAAAATAGCCAGGTGTGGTGGCGGGCATCTGTAATCCCAGCTACTGGGGAGGCTGAGGCACAAGAATCACTTGAACCCTGGAAGTGGAGGTTGTAGTGAGCTGAGATGGCGCCACTGCACTCCAGCCTGGGCAACAGCATGAGACTCTGTCTCAAAAAATAATTAATGGCCAGGCACTGTGGCTCATGCCTGTAATCCCAGCACTTTGGGAGGCCAAGGTGGGTGGATCACCTCAGGTCAGGAGTTTGAGACCAGCCTGGCCAATATGGTAAAACCCCATCTCTATTAAAAATATAACAACTAGCCAGGTGCAGTGGCTCATGCCTGTAATCCCAGCACTTTGGGAGGCCGAGGCAGGCGGATCACGAGGTCAGGAGATCGAGACCATCCTGGCTAACATGGTGAAACCCCATCTCTACTAAAAATACAAAAAATTAGCCAGGCGTGGTAGCAGGCACTTGTAGTCCCAGGTACTCGGGAGGCTGAGGCAGGAGAATGGCGTGAACCCGGGAGGCGGAGCCTCCAGTGAGCCGAGATCGCGCCACTGCACGCCAGCCTGGGCAAGAGAGCTAGACTCTGTATGAGAAAAAAAAAAAAAAAATATATATATATATATATATATGCATAAAAACTAGCCGGGCATGGTCGTGGGCGCCTGTAATCCCAGCTACTTGGGAGGCTGAGGTAGGAGAATTGCTTGAACCCAGGAGGCAGAGGTTGCAGTGAGCCAAGGTCGTGCCACTGCACTCCAGCCTTGGCGACAGAGTGAGACTCCATCTCAAAAAAAAAAAAAAAAAAAAAAGTTGAAAAAACAACTGAGCCAAAATGCTATGTGGCAGCCACAGCACTTCCAGCCTGGAAAATTCTTAAAGCATTTTATATAACACGTGGCCAAGTCCTGGAGCTCATTTCAGTGTGTCCTCTGTCCACCCTCTCAGTCACCTGCAGACATGCACCTGCCTACCCAGTGCCTTCTCATTCAGCTCCTGGCAGAGTCTTCAGAAGGCTCAGCCAAGCAGGACCCCTGCCCTCCCCCAGCGCTGACCAAGCTCATTACCTGTGGAAAACCCGAACAAGAAGACGATGTAGACAAACATGAAACGGCACAGGTCTCTCAGGATCATCTGCAGGAGACAGCAGGCTCATCAGAGCCGAGGCCAGGCCCAGGAGGAGCTGAGGGAAGGGCCGGGCCGCATCGGCCTGGGGATGCGTCTTGAGAACGTGCAGGGCGGTTTGCTTTGCTGGTTCTCAGCTCAGGGGTCATGAGGGAGTCACCCACCCTTCCCCCATAGCCTTTGTTCTGGTCGGGAGATGGAGGCCTGGTGTGCAGGGGGGGTCAGGTTTCAGGGGACCCCCCTACACATACCTGGGTCAGGGCCAGATTGCTTGATTCTTGGAAAATAGGCTGGGGGGTAAACCAGCCCCTTCCCAGGCACGACAGAGAGGATGGGCGGAGTTCTTGGCCCCATCTCACATGACCACGAGGTAAGCGGGCTCTGAGGAGACCCACTGGGGCCCAGGGAACCCACCTTCTCTATCATGACGGCATAGATGCCCATCTGCTGGAAACCGCGGGTGTAGTAGAGCATGTTGGTCCAGCCCAAGGCCAGGGAGAATACCATGGAAGCCACATACTCCTTGAGGTGGCTGAAGTACAGCACCACGGTGGCCAGCATGAACAGTGACTGCAGAAAGCTGCGGGTGGAGGGGCAGAAAGCTCCGTCTACGGGAACCCAGGAGGCCTGGCACCCCCAGAACAAAAGGTCACAGGCCGCTCAGAGGTCCAGACTGCAGGCCGCAATAGGAGCTAGGGTTGGGCTGTCCTGACTCTTTCAGCCCAGGCGTTCTCCGTGGAAGCAGCATCGTCCCCAAGGAGCAGAAATTGGCTTGGTGAGGAGCTGTGCAAAATCTCACTCTTTATGTATAAAGCACAGATATAAATATAGTACCTAAAGGCCAGGCGCAGTAGCTCACGCCTTTAATCCCAGCTCTTTGGGAGGCTGAGGCATGCGGAGCACAAGGTCAGGAGTTCGAGGCCAGCCTGACCAACATGGTGAAGCCCCACCTCTACTAAAAATACAAAAAAAAATTTAGCCAGGCATGGTGGTGCACGCCTGTAATCCCAGCTACTCAGGAGGCTGAGGCAGGAGAATCACCTGAACCCGGGAGGCGGAGGTTACAGTGAGCCAAGATCATGCCACTGCACTCCAGCCTGGGAGACAGAGCGAGACTCCGTCTCAAATAAATAAATAAACAAATAAATAAACAAATAAATAAATAAATAAAAAGTACATAAAAGGATATATAGTGGCCAGGCGTGATGGCTCACACCTGTCATCCCAGAACTTTGGGAGGCAGATCACTTGAGGTCAGGAGTTCAAGACCAGCCTGGCCAACACAGTGAAACCCTGTCTCTACTAAAAATATGAAAATTACCTGGGCAAGGTGCACCCCTCTAATCCCAGCTACTGGGGACACTGAGGCAGGAGAATCACAATGCTATGTAGAAAACTGCTTCTCTTAGGCAGGTAAATCAGTGTGGTAAACCTACAGACCTTGCCTCTTGAGTTTGCCTTTCGGGGCTAAAGTATAGGTATCTCAAGATTAGGGGGAAAACAGAGGAAAAGAACCCATTCTACCAAAAAGATGCCTGCACTCCTGTGTTTATCAAAGCACTATTCACAATAGCAAAGCATGGAATCAATCCAGGTGCCCATCAATGGTAGACTGGATAATCAAAAAGTGGTACGTATATACCATGGAATACTATGCAGCCATAAAAAAGAATGAAATCACGTCCTTTGCAGCAACATGGATGTAGCTGGAGGCCATTATCCTAAGCAAATTAACACAGAAACAGAAAACCAAATCCCACATGTTCTTACTTATAAGTGGAGCAAAACACTGGGCACCCACAAGCACAAAGACGGGAACAACAAACACTTAGGATTCCAAAAGTGGGGAAGCCGGGAGGGGGACAAGGGTTGAAAAACTACCTATCAGGTACTATGTTCACTACTTGGGTGACCAGATCATTAGACCCCCAGACCTCAGCATCATACAATATACCCACCTAACAAACCTGCACAAGTACCCTGAAATCTAAATTCTTTTAAAAAAATTAAAATAAGTGTTCCTTTCACAATCATGTTAAATAAAGCTAATTCTAGTTTTACTTGTCCAAAAAAAAAAATTGGGTTAAAGGATGCGGTTTGTGAGTCGTACGGACAAGCTAGCTGCAAGAGGATTTGAAATTATTCCTTGTTCTTCCAGGAAGGAAGAGATCAGGACGGGGACTGTGAGCCGAGATCCCAGGAGACAGGTCCTGGAAGGCCCTCGGTGCACACTGGGGCTTGAGGCTCTGGCTTACTTTCTGAAGGAAGGAGGTTTCCTGCCACATCCACAATGTTCTATTTATTTATTTAGAGATGGAATCTCGCTCTGTTACCTAGGCTGGAATGCAATGGCGCGATCTGGGCTCACTGCAACCTCTGTCTCCCGGGTACAAACAATTCTCCCACCTCAGCCTCCCGAGTAGCTGGGATTACAGGTGCGTGCCACCATGCCTGCCTAATTTTTGTATTTTTAGTAGAGACGGGGTTTCACCATGTTGGCCAGTCTGGTCTTGAACTCATGACCTCAAGTGATCCACCCGCCTCAGCCTCCCAAAGTGCTGGGATTACAGGCGTGAGCCACTGCGCCCGGCCATCCAAACTGTTCTATAACTGTGCTTTCACTCATCTGCTTCCTCCTAAAGCGGTGGTTCTCAACCGGGAGTGATTCCGGCACCACCCCCCAAAACAAGTGAGGGGCCTTTGGCCATATCTGGAAATGTTCTTGATTGTCAAGACTGGGGGATGGGGAAGCTCCAGGCGACTGGGGGATGGGGAAGCTCCAGGCAGCTGCGAGTAGAGGCCGGTGATGCTGCTATATACTCTACGATGCACAGGGCAGCCCCCGCCCCGCCCCGCCCCCCAACCACCACAACTAAGCACTACCCAGTCCAAAATATCAACAGTGCCAAGGTCGCACAACCCCCCGTTAAAGATAGGAAACTCCCCAAAGGCGGGCGCCATGTCTGTTTCATCCAGTATTCCAGGGCCAACCCCTCGAATGGCAGATGGATGGACAATGAGTGGGAAGGTGAACAAGGTCCGTCTCACTCGGACTGTAAGTCACGGCAGTTTCTCGATCCCTGGCCCCTGGCACAGAGCAGGCCCTCAGTATTCATTCATCCCCCGAGTATGTATTCAGTGCCTTCCGTCATTCCCTCAGCATGTTCACTGAGGTCCCACTATGTGCCAGGCCCGGCGTGAGTGAGACCTCAAGTGAGAACTGATTGCGGTCACCTGGGGACTGGACTGGGAATGAGTCAAAGTGTCACTTACAAAAGCATCTCACTGTAGCTGTCCACAAACAGGGTCTTCATCGACGGCCGCCTCTGCAGGAAATACTGAATCTGCAGGTAAACAGAGAGAGTAAGATCCCAGGCAATGCTCGATGTGGCTAAATGGTGAGCACTCAGATGCTTCCTAAATGGCACCATGATGGGGTGGTCGAATGTGTGAAAGCACAGATTGTGAAAAGAGCAGAACAGCAAGGGTCAGGCCAATGGGGTGACACTAGGTGGCCCAGTCAGTAGAGATGGTTAAAAATACACAGTGGAAGCCGGGCATGGTGGCTCACGCCTGTCATCCCAGCACTTTGGGAGGCCAAGGCGGGTGGATCACCTGAGGTTAGGAGTTCGAGACCAGCCTGGCCAACATGGTGAAATCCCGTCTCTACTAAAAATACAAAACAATTAGCTGCGCGTGGTGGCGGGCACCTGTAATCCCAGCTACTCATGAGGCTGAGGCAAGAAAATCGCTTGAACCCAGGAGGCAGAGGCTGCAGTGAGCCAAGATCAGGCCATTGCACTCCAGCCTGGGTGACAGCGAGACTCCATCTCAAAAAAAAAAAAAAAAATTACACAGTGGATTTACAACTATACCCAGAAGTACAGACAGGAAGGAAAATCATTAAAATGTTATCAGTTGCTGTATTGAATTGGGCAAATTGTTTTCTTCTAATTGGAGCTTTTTCCTAATTTTTTTTTAAGAGATCAGAGTCTCACTATGTTGCCCAAGCTGGTCTCAAACTCCTGGCCTCAGCCTCCCAAGTAGCTGGGATTACAAGCGTGAGCCACCTTTTTCTTAATTTTTCACATGCCGAGCATATTTTTTTCTTAATTTTAAGTAAGCGTTAAAATAAAAATTCTTGTAACAAGCCGCCACTGTCAGCCATGAGTCCTGTCCAAGACACCACCACCCTTCTGCTCCCTCCCACAGGCCAATCCTGCTTTTGCCATTCCAGCCACACTTGCTACTGTGGCACTGTACTTTACTGTAATGTAAACCATGAGTGTGAAAAGAAAGACAGTTGTCTCTGTGAAGACGAAGTTCAATGACTGAACAATTCCATAAAGGTGAGTGACTGAAAAAAAAAACTGGATAGAGCTTATACCAAAAAAGACTAGGGGATAAAAATCACAATAGAAGGCTGGGCACAGTGGCTCACGCCTGTAATCCCAGCACTTTGGGAGGCCGAGGCGGGCGGATCACGAGGTCAGGAGACCGAGACCATCCTGGTTAACATGGTGAAACCCCGTCTCTACTAAAAATACAAAAATTAGCCGGGCGCGGTGGCACGCACCTGTAGTCCCAGCTACTCGGGAGGCTGAGGCAGGAGAATCACTTGAACCCAGGAGGTGGAGGTTGCAGTGAGCCAAGATCACACCACTGCACTCCAGCCTGGGCAACTAAGCGAGACTCCATCTCAGAAAAAAAAAAAAATCACAATGGGGCCAGGCACAGTGGCTCACACCTGTAATCCCAGCACTTTGGGAGGCCAAGGTGGGCGGATCACGAGGTCAGGAGATCGAGACCATCCTGGCTAACACGGTGAAACCCCGTCTCTACTAAAAATACAAAAAATTAGCCGGGCGTGGTGGCGGGTGCCTGTAGTCCCAGCTACTCGGGAGGCTGAGGCAGGAGAATGGCGTGAACCCAGGAGGCGGAGCTTGCAGTGAGTGGAGATTGTGCCACTGCACTCCAGCCTGGGCGAAAGAGTGAGACTCCATCTCAAAAAAAAAAAAAAAAAAAAAAAAATCACAGTGGAGCCTGGGCATGGTGATGGCTTCCTGTAGTTCCAGCTACTCCAGAGGCTGAGGTGGGAGGATTGCTTGAGCCCAGGAGACAGAGGTTGAAGTGAGCCACGATCACGCCACTGCACTCCAGCCTGGGTGACACAGCAAGACCCCATCTTATAAAAATTAAAATTAAAATACTACAAGGGTTTCCAGAGTCAAAAAAAACAAAAACAAAAACCAATGATCATCTCAAATTCTACATTCAGACTTTTTTGTACGCAGCTAAGTTCTCACTCTTCTTTAAAGAAGCTGAAACTAGAAATCTTAGATTATATAAATATGGTTTTTGCAAGAAAGGTGATGTAAAATCTGAAACAGTGAGTCCCACATTCAAAGAAAAGATTACTCCTGCATTAAAAAAAAAAAAAATGGCCAAGGATTGCACATGTTTGAGTTTCAGGTTAAAAATAAAACAATTCCTTGCTGGTGTGGTGGCTCACGCCTGTAATCCCAGCACTTTGGGAGGCTGAGGCAGGTGGATCACCTGAGGTCAGGAGTTCGAGACCAGCCTGGCCAACATGGTGAAACCCCACCTCTACTAAAAATACAAAAAAATTAGCCGGCTGTGGTGGCAGGCGCCTGTAATCCCAGCTACTCAGGAGAATTTTTTGAACCCAAGAGGCGGAGGTTGCAGTGAGCCGAGATCGTGCCACTAGCCTCCAGCCTAGATGACAAAGCGAAACTCCACCTCAAAAAAAAAAAAAAAAGATTCCAGTATGCAAGGAGATTTCCTTCACTGCTCAGAGCTTTAACAGATTGGTTTAATTAAAAAACTACCAGTCATGATCCTATCACTTAAGAGGCCTCCACTCTGCCCCTGTAATCAAATACTCCGTTCCGTGGAGTGGCTGGAGTGTCTACTTTCAAGCTTGCCTGCCTTGGGCCTGTGGAGACGCCCTGAGCACCCTCCCGCCCCGCGGTGACTGACTGAAGGGCTCTCATCTTCACCTCTGCGTCTCTCAGCTCCCCAAGTAGGGCTATGATGTGTCTGATGAATTAAAAAGTGAGTGAGCGCTGAGGGATCTTCTTGGCTTTTTGTTTTGGTGATAATGGAAACTCACAATGTGGGAAGGAACGCTTACCCCTCGGAAAAAGAAGTAGACTCCTCCTAACACAGACAGGATCTCTCCAGTAACTCGGAAATAGTCTCCAGTTTTTTCCATCTTAAAGGGAGGCTGTGAGATGCAGAGAAGTTGGTAACTCCATTTACTCATTCGTTCATTCAACAAACATGGACCAGGTCCATGAAGCCATAGTCCCTGCCCAGGAGGCACAGCCTCCATCAGGGGAAGGACACACAAAGACAGTGTGTTATTAGGGGAGCGCCCGCAAGGAGGCCCCTCTGTGGGCCTGATTCCCCAAAGTGGCAGCCTGCAGGTGCCAAGCGGAGCATCTTACAATGCTGTGCCGCCTCCCAAGCAATGTCCCGGCAGGCCCAGAGCTCCTCCTGGCTGGGAGCAGAGTGATGGACAGCAGGGTGATGGAGAGGTGGAAGCACTCTCATGGACCCCACGCCATACACATCCCGCTGCCACCCCAGCCCATGGCCAGTCTCCCACGAGTGTCAGGGACTCCCACTGACCATGGAGGGAGAGACTGTGCCACACACACTTGTGGGTGTCACCCTTGTATTTCAGTGGCCATTTCCTGGAGTGGGTCACCATCCACATTTCCTAAGCACTAGTTCATCAGCTTGCCTTACCAGCACATTTTTCTCTTAAAAAGAAGTCACTGGCCGGGTGCAGTGGCTCACGCCTGTAATCCCAGCACTTTGGGAGGCCGAGGCGGGCGGATCACCTGAGGTCGAGAGTTCGAGACCAGCCTGACCAACATGGAGAAACCCCATCTCTACTAAAAATACAAAATTAGCCAGGCGTGGTAGCTCATGGCTGTAATCCCAGCTACTTGGGAGACAGAAGAATCACTTGAACCCCGGAGCCAGAGGTTGCGGTGAGCCAAGGTGGCGCCACTGCACTCCAGCCTGGGCAACAGAGCGAGACTCTGTCTCAAAAAACAAAAAACAAAAAACAAAAAAAAAGAGGGAGGCTGAGGCAGGAGAATGGCGTGAACCCAGGAGGCAGAGCTTGCAGTGAGCTGAGATCACACCACTGCACTCCAGCCTGGAAAACAGAGAGAGACTCTGTCTCAAAAAAAAAAAAAATAAAATAAAAAAAAAAGGAAGTCATTATGTGGCCTTAATAGGTGGACAGAAATCGGGTTTCATGCAATTATGAAGTTGAGTTTTTAAAGTAAATGTGCAGCCGGGCACGGTGGCTCACACCTGTAATCCAAGCACTTTGGGAGGCCGAGGCAGGCGATCACTTGAGGTCAGGAGTTCAAGACTAGCCTGGCCAATACGGTGAAATCCCATCTCTACTAAAAATATAAAAATAAGCTTGGCATGTTGGTGGGTGCCTGTAGTCCCAGCTATTCGGGAGGCCGAGGCAGAAGAGTCACTTGAACCCGGGAGGTGGAGGTTGCAGTGAGCAGAGATTGCGCCACTGCACTCCAGCCTGGGTGATAGAGCGAGACTCCATCTCAAAAAAACAAAAATTAAGTAAGTAAGTAAACTTGTAAAGTGCCCTGGAAACAAAAGCAGCAAATTAAGTGTCCTGGGTATCAGACACGAAGGACTAAGTCCAGAAGTTTGATGAAGTCTTGGCTCTTGGCAGAGGAAAAAGGCTGGTCTTAGGCTGATTTGATGGATGGCCCAGGGCCTGGCACAGAGCTGCTCAAAAGTCTAAATCCAGGGAATGAATAATGAGCAAGTGAGTGAATGAAAGAGGGCAGGCAAGCAGGATGATGGTGGGCTCTGGGCTTAGACACCAGCCCACATCCCTGGGGACCCCCAGGCCAGGGGTGAGCCCTGTCCCGAGCCCAAATTCCTGCGTGATTTTTCTTTTTTTTTTTTTGAGACAGAGTTTCACTCTTGTTGACCAGCCTGGAGTGCAGTGGTGCCATCTCAGCTCATCACAACCTCTGCCTCCAAGGTTTAAGCGATTCTCCTGTCTCAGCCTCCCTGAGTAGCTGGGATTACAGGCAGGCTCCACCACACCCAGTTAATTTGGTGTTTTTAGTAGAGACGGGGTTTCACCATGTTGGTCAGGCTGGTCTCAAACTCCAGACCTCAGGTGATCTGCCCACCTCAGCCTCCCAAAGTGCTGGGATTACAGGCATGAGCCACCATGCCCGGCCCCTGCATGCTTTCTAACCGAGTACACCCCGTCTACAATCAGGGACCTGAGTCACCACACACTCAGCCCCACAGGACCTCAAGGTTAAAGGAGAGGAACTGAGAAGCGGGAAGGGGGCGGGTCTCCTGTACAGCCTGAGGCAGGGGAGATGGGCGCAGGGATACGAGGTTCTCCACGTTCTCCATCCATCGCTCCCGCAAGCTGGGAAGGAGTCCAGGGCAGAGCCTGGGCCTGGGGTCGGGGAGGTCTCCCGAAATGTCCACACCCCTTCCCCACCACCCACACCCTCGCCCACGAGGCCTGAGCCTCTGGCCGCACCAAGCCATCCACGGGCCTGTAGTAGGCAGCCATGGTGAAGATGATCATGTACAGGCAGTAGACCAGGAAGTTGAAGTAGAAGATGCGCTTGACGAATCTGTCCCACTTGTCCTGCAGGAGTCGGTTCAGCGGCTCCACCAAGAGCATGTCGTGGCGATTCTAGGGGGTGGGGAGAGAAGTGAGGTTCCCTCCTGCAGCAGGAACTCCTCGCACGCCCACACCAGCCCGTGGTGCCCCTCACAGCCATGTGGCCCGCACAGTCCTCAGCCCACGGAGCAGGTGAGATGGGAGGTCTGAGCCAGCCGGCAGCCATAGCCTGGGGCTGGTCCCAGCACTGCCGCGGCTCACGGAGGGACCTGCCCTCTTGGCCTCAGTGTCCCCAGAGGTGCAGTGAATGGGGTGAAACTGGACAAGCTCTTAAGTGCTCACTTAATGGCCCACCGCACTGCCCGTTGTGTCTAATAACTCCCTCCCGAGAGCCCACAGTAATGGGAAGTAGTTGGCTTAGGCAGAGCCTGGGCATGAGGGGCTCAGGGCAGGCAGGAAAGAGCCTCTGGGTCCTCACTTCTCACGTTTCCAGCCCTGGGTCAGGCAGGGCGGCAGGGAGGCAGGGAACTAGGAGGCCCTTCCTGCCCCAGGAGGGCCCAGTGCCTCATGCCATCATTACAAGTATGCTTTGGGGCAAATGTCTCATATCCAGAGACTTTGATAAAGTTCAAATAGGCCGGGTGTAGTGGCTCACGCCTGTAATCCCAGCACTCTGGGAGGCCGAGGCAGGTGGATCACTTGAAGTCTGGAGTTCAAGACCAGCTTGGCCAACGTGGTGAAACTCCTTCTCTACAAAAATACAAAAATTAGCCAGGCATGGTGGTGGGTGCCTGTAATCCCAGCTACTTGGGAGGCTGAGGTGGGAGAACTGCTTGAACCCCAGGAAGCAGAAGTTGCAGTGAGCTGAGATCACGCCATTGCACTCCAACCTGGGTGACAGAGCAAGACTCTGTCTCAAAATATAAAATAAAATAAAATAAAAATAAGTTCAAGTATCCCTGAGACTGATGAGCCAAAATCAGATCATCCCAGCCTCCCTCAGGCCATCGAGTCCAACCCCCACCCCAAACTTAAGCTCCCTCAAAGAGGTTCCTGATCAGTGTCTTCTTGAATGCCTTTGGGAATGGGAAACTCCTTACTGCCTCAAGAGGCCTATGGAGACTCACTGCCTGTAGGGAATACCTCTTCTTTGGTCTTCTCTACTTTCCACTAGTGGTCCTGGCTCTGCCCTAGGGTCCCCAGGACAAGTCCACACTCCTTGTCCCTGAGAGCCTTTAGAGACATGAAGATGTCAGTGGTGGTCCCAGAGCCTCTCCCCCAGGTCAAATACTGCAGTCCTTGTTGAGGCCACCTCCTATCTGGACCTCTCCTCTGGGAACACTTGTATCCAGCACTCTGAGTTGGAGGCCCAGGTTCAGCATGGCAGCCCAGGGGAGGCAGAGCAGACCAGGCCTTTCCCAGCCCCGGACTCTGCTCCTGTAAACGCAACCTCTGACCTGTGAGATGTCGTGGAAGCCCCTCACTGCTGATGGCACAGACTCTAGCCCCCAAGTCTGCCTTAGGAGCTCAGAGCATCACCTTAGAAAGAAGGGACAGATAAGGTGGCCTTTCCAAACAGCGTGGCAGGATGGATTACTCACTACGTAACACTAAGACATTCATTTGGAGCCAAAATATTTAAGTAAGATGCCTACTTCACACCTACACAAAAATAAGTTCTTGGCCTGGCGCAGTGGTTCACACCTGTGATCCCAGCACTTTGGGAAGCCAAGGAGGGCGGATCACCTGAGGTCAAGAGTTCGAGACCACCCTGACCAACATGGAGAAATCCTGTCTCTATTAAATACAAAAAATTAGCAGGGCCTGGTGGCGCATGCCTGTAATCCCAGCTACTTCGGATTCGAGGAGAATCGCTTGAACCCGGGAGATAGAGGTTGCAGTGAGCCGGGATGGCACCATTTCACTCCAGCCTGGGTAACAAGAGCAAAACTTCGTCTCAAAAAAAAAAAGAAAAATCTACACGCCCTGCCATCAAGTGAAAAAAAAAAAAGGTTGTTGTACATTGTGTATAGTCTGATCTCATTTATGTAAACAAAATGAAACTGTGCATTTTTAAATAGTATAAAAGGAGGGTCCTTTTGTCCATGTCCCTCTGAAACGTTTCTGTTTTTATGGGATGATAATCACGTATGGTTGCTATGCTTAGGGAAAATTCAGTGGGCATGAGTGGGGAACGTGAGGCTGCAGGGCCTGGGCCCGGGCGCAGCAGGCTTTCCCTCCTGAGAAGCCAGCTGGAGCTGGACCAGGGGCTGGGATTGGGGCTTGGGTGCAGAGGCCCTGAGGCCCTCCCTGGCTGTGCCCCAGCCACTCACAGGGGTCTCGCTGCTGCTGTAGGCGATCACCTCCAGCACCGAGTTCTTCTCGCAGGTGTCGATGCAGGACAGGTCGTACAGCGAGGAGTGCACGGGCCCGTAGGCCCACTCGGTGAACTTCCTGGACAGGTGCCTGCACTCGGGCTCCTGGATCTCCCGCTGGAGAATATAGGCCAAGACCTGCCCCCGGGGAGCAAGAGCCCGTCAGAGGCCAGCCCCAGGCTCAGCCTCAGACAGTACCTCAACAACCAGCTCTGCTTCCCAGCCCAGCTGGTGGCCCCACCTAAGCCCCAGGCGAGTCCCCACCCACTCCTGACCACCACTGAGATCAACCAGCCGGCCGGGCACGGGTGGCTCATGCCTGTAATCCCAGCACTTTGGGAGGCTGAGGCGGGTGGATCACCTGAGGTCAGGATTTTGAGACCAGCCTGGCCAACATGGCAAAATCCTGTTTTTACTGAAAATACAAAAAAAAAATTAGCCGGGCATGGTGGCGTGTTCCTGTAATCCCGGCTACTTGAGAGGCCGAGACAGGAGAATCACTTGAACCTGATAGGCAGAGGTTGCAGTGAGCCGAGATTGTGCCACTGCTCTCCAGCCTGGGCAACAAGAGCGAAACCTCATCTAAAAAAAAAAAAAAAAACAAAACACACAAACGTCAACCAGCCAGCTGCCTCAGATACTACCTGCACCATATCAGGCCCACAATCCCCTCACGGCGAGGCCCCAGCTCTACCATCTCACCATGAAGGACAGCGGTGGTCCATTCTCGATAACCTCAAGCCAGAAAGAAAGAAAGAGAATGCAAGAAATGAGAGCCAGATGGGGTGGCTCATGCCTGTAATCCCAGCTACTTGGGAGGCTGAGGTGGAAGGATCACTTGAGGCCAAGAGCTGGAGGCCTGTCACCAGGAGCCACCAGCTGGAGCTGGGAGCTGGAGCCATCAGCCTTGTTACCTAAAGCTCCTGCCTGCCATGCTCCTGCCTGCCATGGAAAAACACCAACAGCTTTTTTCTTTTTCCTTTTTTTTTTTTTTTGAGACAGAGTCTTGCTCTGTCACACAGGCTAGAGTGCGGTGGCAAAATCTTGGCTCACTGCCACCTCCGCCTCCCAAGTTCAAGTGATGTTTGTGCCTCAGCCTCCTGAGTAGCTGGAATTGTAGGCACCTGCCACCATGCCTGGCTAATTTTTGTATATTTAGTAGAGGTTTCACCAGGTTGGTCAGGCTGGTCTCGAACTCCTAACCTCAGGTGATCCACCCACGTCGGCCTCCCAAAATGCTGGGATTACAAGAGTGAGTCACCGTGCCCAGCCCAACAGCTATTCTTCTGTTCCACCCTAGGCAGTCCCTCCTCCATTGCCCAGCACCCTACCCCACCCCATGTCTTGTTGCTGATACTCAGAGCTGGAAATTCAAAATGGCACGTTGGCCATTGCAGGGTTCTGCCCTGTGGCTCCCAATTTCTCAGACTTATTCTAACAGCCCTACAGGCTGGTATGACAGAATCAGAGTCCCGCACACACAGATAGCGACGCCAGGCTCCCGCAGTGAGTCAGGCAGTCCTCTCCCATGCCATCAGCCCCGCACCGCACCAGCCTGAGCCGAAGCCCCCTCTTACCCCGATCTTCCCGGTCCCAGCTGCCAGAGCCAGCGGCGTCATTCCCTTCTTGTTGGTGAGCTCCTCCAGCTTCAGCGTCGGGTGCAGTTTGGCCCCCAGCATCAGAATCTCATTGTACATGCTCGTCACAAACTTCGTGTTGTCGGCCGTGTTGTCGGCCACCTCCACCAGGGCGTGCAGCACCGTGTTGCCCACCGAGTCCCTGGCGCTGATGTCGGCCGTCTGCCAGGAGTTCTGCAGCAGGAACTTCACGATGCCCAGCTGGTTGGTGCACGCGGCCAGGGACAGGGGCAGTTCACCTGCATGAACACAGGGCCCAGGTGGGCCTCAGGAGTGAGATCCAGCTGGCCCCTGAACCACCGGCCTCCAAACTCCCTCTGTCTCTGCCCAAACCTCCCCTTAGCAAAAGCCAAAAAGATCAGGGTCTGCCACACTGTCTCCCTACCGAAGTAGAATCCAGGCCGCCCTTTGGTTTTCTTAAAGAAGTCCCCATGGGCCGCAGCCTGGACGTCTGCTCCGTTCTCCACCAGGAGGGTCACCAGGGCCATGTTGCGTCTCTCGATGGCGATGTGCAGTGCTGTCTGGCCTACAGAGGACGCGCACGGTTGGCTTCGTGGTCACGGTCCTGTGGGGCTGCCGGGACAGGTGCTGGGGAAGGGCTCTGGGCAGGCAGCAGCTGCTGCAGGAGGAACTGGGCAGAAAGTGCCTGGAGGACCCCCCCACTGCAGGAGGCCAGGCCAGGGTCCCCCAAGGGGTCCCAGCAAGGTCCTGAGACAGGAGACCCCTGGGAACAGGAAATAACGGGTTGGAAGCCAGAGGAGTCAAAATTGCCCCGGGGGCAAGGAACAGCAGCAGAGAGAAAGGCCAGAGGCTGTGACTTCCAGGGACAGGGACCATCCAGTCAGCAGGGGGAGGCAGGGACTTCTCAGGGTCAAGAGAGGAGACATCAGATCGGGGAGGCAGAGACCCCCAGGACCAGGAGAAATCAAGCCAGCAGATGGGAGAGGCAGGGACCCCCTAGGATTAGGAGCCACCAACGCAGTGGCTGGGACAGGGAGTAAGGATCCCAGAGAAGCAAGGAGGCCCAGGGACAACCATGCCCCCCTGCTTCCCGGTGCTGCGGGCTGAGCCATGCCCGGCCCCGCCGCCCTCCTCACCCTTGTAGTAGCTGTCCGTGTAGCTGGCGTTGACAAGCTCCTTCAGGCTGTCCGTTTGCCGCGCGATCTCCAGGAGCAGGGGGATGGTGGTGTTCTGTCCGTCGTGCAGGTTGAGCATGGCTTTCAGCAGACAGGTCTTCCCTGTCTCAGGGTCTGAAAGACATAAGGGAGGGTCAGGGCAGGCCAGGGCTGGGGCCCTCCCCGAGCCCAGCGCTGGGGCCACCTTTGAACTCGTTGTCTGTGAGGTGCTTCTTGCTCTTCTGCAGGAAGAGCAGCAGGCTCTCCAGATCCTGGCAGTTATTCTGAGCAACGGCTTCAAAGATACTCCTGCGATCATAGAGCCTGAGGGTCTTCTCGGTGCTGGCGGCGACAGAGTCCTGGGACAGCAGCCTGTGGGCCAGAAAACACGCTCGTCTCATACCCTGGCCTCCCCTCGGCCCTGAGGCCTTCGGAGCTTGTCAAGGGAACACGACTAAATCCCAAGGCAAACCAAAAAGGGGAAAAATGATATAAAAGCTGCCCCTCAGTCTAGGTGACTGTCCAGAAAAGCAATGTAACAGGGACAGTGGAGGGCATGTGTCCCCATTCTGTCCCCACCCTGTCTATAGACACCATCTAGAAAGTCACCCTCCTACTCCCAGACCACTGGCTTCTCTGCCTGCTCGGGAGCTCGGGAGGCAGGAGCCTGGTGGGGACGGAGGGAGGTGGAGGCAGGGGTGTAGACAGCCCCTCTAAGGGAAAAGGTGGCCTCACACTCCCCAGAAGTCAGCCAGCCTGTGGCCCTCCCTGCCCTGCCTTGCAGCTCACTGGAGCTGTGCTGTGCTCTCCAAAAGCCTCCTGCCCTTGAGCTTTTAGACTTCAAGTCCAAGTGTCTGTGGCTGGTAGGCATTGCGGGCGTGGACACCTAGACCCAGCACAGACACCAGCCCCCGTGACTGCACATCCCACGAGGTCACATGAGGAAGGACGCTGGACCAGACCACCCCTAAGGCTCTCCAGCCCCCTGGCTTTGTGACATTTAGCCCAGAAGCCAGACCACCCTGTGGCATCTCCATGGCCAGCTGGGCTCCCAGCAGGGAGGGGGGCTCCAGACGCGGACTTACCTGGCACCGGTGGGGCCGTCTCCTGGCCTCTGGATGGTGATAACAGGGCTGACTGTGATGGTCGGGCAGGAGTCCAGCTCACCTTCCTCGTGAGGGCAATCCACCGGGAAAGCCTCCTCCGAGTCACCCTTCCCAAAGAGCCGGGTGCGGCTCTTGGCCGTGGAGAGCTGGGGCTTGGCTGGAGGTGGCCTGGAGTTAGGGTCTCCATCCAGGGGGTCTGGGCAGGTGTCCTTTTGGAGTGGGTCCGCAGCTGCCCCCAAGTCTGTGCTGCTCCATTTCTTCATCCTTGCTGGATCCTCTGTGGCCCAGTGTGCAACCTGCAGCAGCCACCACGCCGGGGTTGACTCCCAAAGTAAGGACTGCTTGTCCTTAGACCCCACCTGCCCTCCTTGCCAAGGGCCCTGTGAAGCAGGGTACCCCAAAACTCCAACTTGCTGCTGCCCCCAGCCCCCTAGAACTGAAGTGTTTCCAGGACTGAACCTCTCACCCCAGAGGCCTCAGAGGTGAGCAGGCCTAGCAGGGCCCAGGCAGTCCTGCGGCCACTGACGTCGGCCTGGGAGGGTGGACAGGCCCCCGGCTCAGAGCCATCTGTGGTTCTGGGTTAGACCCATCCCTCCTCGTCTCTGGGCCTCAGGTGCCTCCTCTGCAGGGTGAGGTTGATAACCACCGCGCTGCCTCCCTCCCCACACAGAACAAGGAAAACGGCCGGGGTGGCTGTCGTGGGCTGAATTCAGGGAGGATCTCGGTGATGAGGATGGCTCAGTCCAGAAGAGCCAAGCAGACTGTGTCCCTGGAATAGGGTGAGCGGCAGAGACTGGCCCACCCACACCCACACCGCACTGCGGGGCCCTGCTGTGCAACGGGTCCACACATCATCAGCCAGGTGCCCGGCCTGCCTTTGCTCTTCAACCTCGCTGCCACAGCCACTGAGCTTATACGAGATTTTGGATTTTGTGCTTTTTGTCATTTTTATGAATCAACATCTGTCAAGCATCCTGGCCTTGAATGTTTAGGCGTGTGTGTGTGTGTGTGTGTGTGTGTGTGTGTGTGTGTGTGTGTGTGTGTGTGTGTCTGTGTGTCTCACTCTGTCGCCCAGACTAGAGTGCAATGGGGCAATCTCTGCTCACTGCAACCTCCACCTCCCAGGTTCAAGCGATTCTCCTCCCTCAGCCTCCCAAGTAGCTGGGATTACAGGCGCCCGCCACCATGCGTGGCTAATGTTTGTATTTTTAGTAGAGACAGGGAACGTTTAGGCTTTAAGTGATTTGGAGCTGGTTGGTCTTCTAGGCCTAAACACCTAGAGATCAGCTGGCCGCTGGCAGCAGCATGTGTAGTTGGACACATGAGCTGATGCTATTTTCCACTCCCATCCTGCCCCATCCCCATGCTTCCCCTCCCTCTGGCTGGGCATCCCCACTCCCTGGCACCCAGGGGTGGCCCATACATCCCTCCCATAGCCTCTATTCCCATCGGGTCTCCACCTAAGGGCTTTTTCCTCTGTCTACCCTTGCACAAGTCCTATCACCACTCAGATGCTACTTCCCCTCAGGATCCAGCACTGATGCCGCCTCCTCCATGAAGCCCCCAGATCCCTGCCCTGCTCATGCTCCCCGCTGTCCTCCACACAGTGGCCCAGCCCACTGACCGCCTGTCCCACACAGCCTACCATGTGGTCCAGCAATTGCTATCTGTCACTGATTTATCTCTCCCGCACCCTGTGACCTCCTCCTGGGCAGGGACCTTTCCTGGTCCATCTCCTTATGAAGAAGCTGTACTGGCCTGGGCGCGTGGCTCACGCCTGTAATCCCAGCACTTTGGGAGGCCAAGGCAGGTGGATCACCTGAGGTCAGGAGTTCGAGACCAGCCTGGCCAACATGGTGAAATCCCATCTCTACTAAAAAAAATACAAAAATTAGCCGGGCGTGGTGTCGGGCGCCTGTAATCCCAGCTACTCGGGAGGCTGAGGCAGGAGAATCGCTTGAACCCAGGATGTAGAGGTTACAGTGAGCTGAGACTGTGCCACTGCACTCCAGCCTGGGCAACAGAGTGAAACTCTGTCTCAAAAAAAAAAAAAAAAAAAAAAAAAGAAGCAGCAGCAGCAGCAGCAGCAGCAGCTGCACACATGGGGAAATAAGAGCAATCAGACCCTTCTAATTGCCATTTCCATAGGAAGTTAGGGAGATTACTGTTCCAGCAGTGGCTACATTCCGGAAAACAGCCGCAGAAGAAATGAGAGGCTTCTCAAGTCCTGCATTTTCTTTTTTTTTTTTTTTGAAATATATAATCAGGCAATCTCCCAAGCCAGAATGGCTCAGAGAGACTCCCAAGTCCTACATTTTCAAGTTAAAATTCAGGCAGTGAAACTCCAGAGCACACAACTGGGCCATGGCTGTAAACCAGCTACGTTCTGAATCTCAGATCCATGAAAACACAGAGGCAGCCTCACCACTCCGCAGGCTGTGAACAGGACGGACGGCTGGCTACTGGCCATCTCCCTGCCTGCCTGTTGATCCACTTTCAACAGGCCTGAGTCTTTCTCTGACTCACCCATCAGGTGGACCCCCTGCAGCAGGAGTGTTCCCGGCCACAGAAAGCCGATTCCCTCATCTCATCACTCAATACCTATCTACTGAGTCCTCCTCCTCAGAGTCCAGCCCTGCGCTGGGGGCACAGAGAGGAGTCAGCTCCCCGCTGAGACAGAAACCAGGTACTGGCTGGGCGGAGGGACTGCAGGAGGGGGCAGGGTGCTGAAGAGGGGTCCATGGCAGTTGGTGATGGATGAGCTGAGCCTGGGAAGGGAACAGAGGTGGGCTAGGGTCTGGAGACAGACAGGGAAGCCTAGAGCAGCTGAAGAACGGGAAGTCAGTGGGACAGGAAGACAGGAGGCCGGGTTAGAACCAGATGGCCGTCAGCCTTAACTCCAAGGAATTGAAAGCCAACATGGTTGCATGGATGATGCTTTGGAAGCCTGGGGGGCCGGGTGCTAGTCTTCCCTTTCTGAAGATAACACCCCGTCAAGGACCGTTCACAGTGCGGACAGCCCTGGCAGCACTTAAAAGGCACCAGAAGCGAATGAGAAGCAGAATCGTTGATGCGTCTGAGCACGTGCACAAAGCAGACACGGTTCTCAGGACTCGCATTCCTTCACCCACTTCATTCCCACAACATCCCTAAGAGGGAAATACTTCACCGATGAGGAGACCGAGGCACAGAGCAGTTATGGCACGTCCCCGAGGTCACACAGTCAGAGATGGAACCCGGACTTGACCCCAGGCAGGCTGGCTCCAGAGCATCTCCAGTGCTCCACCACGATGCTGGAGGTCTGGGGCTCTTTCTCAGCAGTTCAACTCAGACCCAGACTCCACAGCAGGGCCTGGGGGCCAATCAGAATAGGCCCTCTCACCCAAGGGGCTAGGCATAAGACCTGAACCTGAAGCACCTCTCGCTCAAACAAGCAGCTCAGGAACCCCAAAATGCAGTGTGAATAAGACCCAGGTCATACCCATGCCTGGCTGTCCCAGGGATGTCTATGGTCTCCAAGAATAAGCTAAGAATAAGAATAGGGGCTGCTCGTTAGGCAGCCCAGCAAGAGAGCACCTGTTAGCCGGAGCCTCCCATGAACCTTTCGGCAATGTTCTTTGTCAGCGGCGTTGCCTTTTCCTCTGACGGGTCCCAGTCCAACCAAACCCAGCCAACAGGAAGCAGCCGGGATTGTGCTATCATTCAGTCAGTCGACAAACGCTGAATCTATACTGCACACTCTGCACCTGATTCCCTACTGGAAACCAAGCTTCTTCCAGGGAACGGGGTGGGACAGGAACTGAGGGGTCATGTGCCCTGGGCTGGGCCGGGGAACAGGGTCAGGACAGCCCTCCACTGCCAGGCCTGGAGTGTACCCTGCACCTAAGCCCGTGGTGATGCACCTGTCACCGCAAAACATTCTACAGTGATCAGGGGAACTTCTACCGTGATTTAGGCAAACGAGTGTTGGCTGTGTGATGGAGATGGTGATTCTGGTTTACACAAGACTCACAAACTCATCAATCTGGACTAAAGGACAATCCTAAAAGAATCGATTCTGCCCACAGAGACGTGGTATGATCTGAGTCTTTCTCAACTCCAAAGCCAGAACAGATACTGCCTACCCTCTGGGGGAAGGATCCCTTCTCTCCCCAATGCAAGTGAGACAACATGGGGTGTGGCTCCCCTGCTCCTCTCTCTGCCCAAAGCATCCATCCATCCATCCATCCATCCAAGTTCTTGGGAGCACCTCCCGCTCGCCACTGGGGACTTTCTGGAAGCTGGGAGAACGCTGGCCCAGGACCCAGCCAGATTATTCTCAGTAGTCCCTTCTGTCAAAGGGAGGCAGTAGGCTGCGGGCTTCCCAACCCAGGGGTGAAGAACAAAGAGATAGGACAGCAGCACAAGGACCCAGTGTGCCTGCTTCCCAGCCCTGCGCTCGTCCACTCCACAGAGAGGGCGACACGCTGAAAACCTCCGGCCACACACCAGCAATCTCAGCAGCAGCTGCAGCCTCCTCCCCCGAGGACGGCTGATGCAGGAGCAACAAGAACAAACCCCAGTAACAACAACCTCCACTCTCACCTCCCAGGTGCTTCCAAGGAGCCAGGCTGAGGGCACCACAAGTTCGCTTCAGCCTCACGACCACCTTTGAGGCAGCCACTCTTACTACCCCCCGTTTTCAGATAAGGTAACTGGGGCACAGAGAGGTGAGTGGACCTGCCCACAGTCGCACAGCTGGGAAGTGACAGGGCCCGGCTTTTGGCCACTCACTATGCCATCTTAAAAGCTAATGTCTGCATTGGCCATCAGACAAAGAAAGGGACTCACCAGCTAGACGCAGGCACACCCCAGGCCCACGGGTGCTTGTGAGCTTGAAGGCGGTTGCTACTCGAAGGGAGAGCTGGGCTCGTGTGGGAGAAGAGTGGTCTCCCCGCCTCCGTGGGGTCCCGGGCCCGGCCCTGGCAGCAGCTGCCCTGCACTAGCAGGAGTCGCTGTGGACGCCCTTCGGCACTCAAGGAAAAAACGCTTCCAGCGATGCAAGCAGCTGCCTTTGCTGCGGCTCTGATTCCCAGAGGATCCCAAAGCTTTTCCCATCATTTTTGCCCTTTTTCAGAAACCACTTAGCTGCTGCCCCTCCTCCAGCCATGCCAGGGCTGCAGAGCACTTACCAGAGCCAGCCAGAGCTGCAACCTCAGCTCTCAGGAAAGGAGGGCGCTGCTCGGCCTCTCAAACCTGTGGCTCCTGCCCCCGGAGGTCTGGGAAACGGCTCCACAAATGACATTCACAACCAGCGACGTCAAAACTAGCGTCCTGTAACTGTTCCGTTTTCAAAATAAAGAGGGAATGGAGGGTCGTGCTGCCCGCCACACAGTACTGGCCTGGCATTAGGGACTTGTTTTGAGAGTCCGAGCAACCTTGAACTAGTCCCTAACTCTCTTAGGCCTCTCGTTCCTGGGTCCCCAAACCTGGAGTAGGGGTTGGCGTCGAGGGGGTCTTCTGGGTCAGCCAGGTCCCAGCCTTTCTTCTCAACTGGGGGTTCCTCAGGGAACCACAAAACACAGATAACTATCAGTGTCATTTCCTTTTTTTTTTTTTTTTTTTGAGACAGAGTCTTACTCTGTCGTCCAGGCTGGAGTGCAATGGCGCGATCTCAGCTCACTGCAACCTCCACCTCCCAGGTTTAAGCGATTCTCCTGCCTCAGCCTCCCGAATAGCTGCAATTGCAGGCACCTGCCATTGCGCCCAGCTAATTGTTGTATTTTTAGTAGAGTCAGGGTTTCGCCATGTTGGCCAGGCCGGTCTTGAACTCCTGACCTCGTCATCCACCTGCCTCGGCCTCCCAAAGTGCTGGGATTCCAGGCGTGAGCCACTGCGCCCGGCCACAAGTGTCTATTTTCTCTCTTCACTTCATACCACCCTAAATGCACAGGAGAGAAGACCCACAAGAGAGAAACGCACAGGAGAGAGTCACATACAGCAGATAACTAGAACAATAGGTTTCATTCTCTCCCAGACCCTGGCTGAGAAAAACAGTGAGGTCTAGGTATGCATCCAGGCTGCGGCCCAAATGCCCTGCAAAAACCATCCTAGCAGCTGCCTGCGGGACGCCAACAAGCCGTAGGGCAGGTCCAGCCTGGAATAAGCAGCCACTGCCAGGGAGGCCCTCGTAACCCTGCCTGGGGTCGCTTGAAAGCTCTGACCCCTGAGTCAAGGCATTGAAGTGTGGCCACCCCATCAATTCCGCACAGCAGTTGACAAAGAGCTTTCCCAAACCCGCTCTCGCAGGCCGTACAGCAACCCCGGGCAGTGGGAGGGCAGAGACTGTCATACCCATTTTACAGGTGAGAAATGTGTGACGCTGGGCAATTAGACAACCGATAATTAGATAATTGCCCAGGCCGCACGTTGGTCTAGGCATAAAAGCCAGGCCCATCCCACCACGCCACACCCCACCATACCCCTCGCTTAGTCACTTTTTTTTTTTTTTTTTTTTTAGATGGTGTCTCGCTCTGTCTCCCAGGCTGGAATGCAATGGCGCAATCTCGGCTCACTGCAACCTCTGCCTCCCAGGTTCAAGCAATTCTCCGGCCTTAGCCTCCCAAGTAGCTGGGATTACAGGCACGTGCCACCACGCCTGGCTAATTTTTGTGTTTTCAGTAGAGGCTGGGTTTCACCATGTTGGTCAGGCCTGGTCTCAAACTCCTGACCTCAAGTGATCCACCTGCCTCGGCCTCCCAAAGTGCTGGGATCATAGGCGTGAGCCACCGCGCCTGGCCGCTTAGACACCTGTTTATGCTATGTGTGTCATGTTAGCTTCAATTAATATGAACGTTAGAATTCATTCTTGTTTATAAATTGTGGCAAAAGGCCGGGCGCGGTGGCTCATGCCTGTAACCCCAGCACTTTGGGAGGCCGAGGCAGGTGGATCACCTGAGGTCAGGAGTTTGAGACCAGGCCTGACCAACATGGTGAAACCCCATCTCTACTAAAAATACAGAATTAGCTGGGCGTGGTTGTGGGCACCTGTAGTCCCAGCTATTCGGGAGACTGAGGCAGGAGAATCACTTGAACCCGGGAGGTGGAGGTTGCAGTGAACCAAGATCACACCATTGCACTCCAGCCTCGGCAACAAGAGCGAAACTCTGTCTCAAAATATATATTTATATATTATAATAAGTTGTGGCAAAATATATATAACAAAATTTACCGTATTAACCATGTTTAACAGTACAGTTCAGTGGCACTCAGTGCATTCACACTGTTGTACAACCATCAGCATCATCCATGCACAGAACTTTTTCATCATCCCAAACTGAAACCCTGCACCCATTAAACACTAACTCCCCTTCCCGACCCCAACCCCCTAACGACCACCATTCAACTTCCTGTCTTTATGAATTTAACTATTCTAGGAGTCCTCTGGTCAGGAATCATACAGTATTTGTCTCTTTGCTTTTTGTGACTGGCTTCTTTCACTTAGCATAATTTCCTCAAGGTTCATCCATGTAGTAGCCTGTAAGAGAATTTCCTTTTTTTCTTTTCTTTTTTTTTTTTTCGAGATGAAGTCTCACTCTGTCCCCCAGGCTACAGTGCAATGGCGTGATCTCAGCTCACTGCAACCTCCACCTCCCTGGTTCAATCAATTCTTCTGCCTCAGCCTCCCGAGTAGTTGGGATTACGGGTGCATGCCACCACACCCAACTAATTTTTAGTAGAAATGGGGTTTCACCATGTTGGCCAGGCGGGTCTCGATCTCCTGACCTTGTGATTCACCTGCCTCAGCCTCCCAAAGTGTTGGGATTACAGGCATGAGCCATCACACCCAGCCCTCCTTCCTTTTTAAGGCTGAGTAATATTCCACTGGGGCGTGGGATGGATGGACCACATTTTGCTCATCCATTCACCAGCTGATGAACACTTGGCTTGCTTCCACCTTTGGCCATAGTGACTAGTGCTGCTATGAACATAGGCGTGCAAATATCTGGTCCTGTCCCTGCTTTCCATTCTTTTGGGCACATATAGACCCAGAAGTGGGATCTGTCATATATAAAAGACTCAGCAGTGGTGACCTCTCAACTTTCTAGTCCTCTGGGATCATTTCCTTCTAACAATGTGGGATAGAGCAATGGCTGGGAAAGGGGATGGTCATGCTTCTTCTCCAGAACCATTGCCTTAGCCTCCAAAGTGATTTCTGCCTCCAATAAAGACAGCACGGAGCCGGGCACGGTGGCTCAAGCCTGTAATCCTAGCACTTTGGGAGGCAGAAGTGGGCGGACTGTCTGAGGTCAGGAGTTCAAGACCAGCCTAGCCAACATAGTGGAACCTTGTCTCTACTAAAAATACAAAAAATTAGCTGGGCGTGGTGGTGCACGCCTGTAGTCCCAGCTACTCTGGAGGCTGAGGCACGAGAATCACTTGAACCTGGGAGGCAGAGGTTGCAGTGAGCTGAGATCACACCACTGTACTCCAGCCCGGGCTACAGAGCGAGACTCCATTTAAAAAAAACAAAACGAAACAAAACAAAAGACAGCACCATTTCCAGTGAACACAGCACACATCACTAAATGTGTCCTGTCCTCTTTGTTAACAGAGCCCTTGGTGCTAACAGTATCACCGGAGTCTACAGGGCACAGTGCCTGCTCAGAGGCCTGCAGGGGAAGTCCCGGCCCTCCTCCTGCCCTGGCCACTCCTGCCGGGACTCCCTGGCTGCTCTCCTCTTCTTGCCGTTCCCCACACCTGGGGGTCCAAGGACCCCGTCCGCAGCCTTATCTTCTCCAGCTCCACCACTGTCCTTGGAGACCTTCGCCTGGCCCCTCCCAAGGACCTCTCTGATGTGTCCAAGTCAGCGGCTGCTTCATCCAGAGTCCACCCAGCCCTCTTCCCTGAGCTCCATCCCTGCCTCCCTGAATCTGCAGGTGAAGCCCACAAGCCCCCTCCCCCCAGCATAACCCACAATGGGCTCCTGTTCCCTCCACATTCACTCCCCTCCCGCTCCCTGCAGCAGTCCCTGCCTGGAAAGGCATCAACTTCCTTCTGGCCACCAAACCCGGTGCCCTTTGTGACCTCCAGCCTCTCCTTCTCGGCCCTCCCTGGGCTGTTTCTGTGGCTTCCGTCCATCCCTCCTCTACCTGGGAGCCCCTTCTTCTCACCTGAATGACCAGAAGTGCCTCCTTTCCCTGGTCCAACCTCCCACAACCCCTCACCTCCAGATCAACAGTCCTGGAAGCTCATCCTGATCAGGCCCCCTTGCCTCTCAGGGGTCCCCACTGCTGAGCAACGCCCCACCCCCGCACCCTGAGCCCACAGACCCAGTCTCCTCTCCCACCGAAACCCACCTTCTGTCACCTGGGCACACCCCTTCCCAGCCACACTAAACGTGCTGACTCCACCCTTTCCCCCACCCTCCTCCATCCCAGTACCCCACTTAACCCATCTTCAAGTGCGAGGTGAGCCCTAGGGATGCTCAAATCCCACCTTCTCCCAAAGGCCCCAGCATAAAGAGCTCATTTCTCACCTTTTTTTTTTAAAGAGGTGGTATCTTGCATTGTCACCCAATGCAAGGGACTCACAATCATAGCTCACTGCAGCCTCCACCTCCTGGACTCAAAGGATCCTCCTGCCTCACCCTCCCAAGTAACTGGGACTACAGGTGTGCACCACCACGCTCGGATTTTTTTTTTTTTTTGGTAGCAACAGAGTCTCGCCATCTTGCCAGACTGGTCTCAAACTCCTGAGTTCACGTGATCCCCCACCTCAGTCTCCCAATATGCTGGGATTACAGACATGAGCTACCACGCCCAACTCCAGAAGTGCTCACTTCTAAACTCCTACAGGAACTTCAACCAATGCGCTTCCTATGGCAACGGGCACAGTACTCATGGCCACAATGATGACAACAGTAATGGCTGTGAATATGTGTTGAGTGCGTACAACGTCCTGGGTGTTGGCATGAGCACTTTATATGCACTATCTCATCAGACCTCAGTAAGAGTTCATGAGGTGAGTACAATTTTGTCCCCGTTTTACTGATAAGGAAAGAAGCACAGACAGGCTACACACCTGCCGAAGGACAGTGACAGCTCTACTAGTCTCGTCTGGAGCTTTCTAAATCTTGTATAGACATGTAACGTCATGATTTTCTTGTGTCTTGCTTTGCAGATTTAAGCAGCTCCAGGGTGAGATACATACGGCTCTCGTGCCCTCCCCTCTCTGAACCTAGCTTGCACCTTGCTCAAAGCAGCACTCAGGAAACGTTTGTTGGCGTGGTTTTTGGCTTTATCTGAACAGCACCTTCACGGAGTGATTCCACTAAAACTCTCGACATGGTGGCGGGGACAAGACCTCAGGGCTGGCCATCACTGCCATCAGTGTGGTTTTCTGGGTCATCATTTGAAACAGGATGTTCTTGCATTTATGTAATGATGTACCCATTAAAACTCCTTGTGAGTAGAAAAGTTTTAATGACTTCTGGGAGGGAGGGTGGTTTTCTAAGTTCAGGTTTGATGGGAGCGAGAGGCAGCTCAGGAAAGCGTCTGCGGACGCGCCAGCCAGCGGCTGGGCCAAATCTGGAATGGCAGATGCTAAACACCGCCACCGTCGCTAATGGTGACAGTTTTCTCTTAGTGTTACCACTAGGGGGCACATTGACTTAAGCTGAGTTCTTGACATTAAGCTGAGCTCTTGACACTGGCCATCGGAGACAAATTTCTTTTCTTCACTCACCTGGGTTCCTCTCAAGATTCGAGCCCCAGCCGGCCTCAGTGGCTCACGCCCGTAATCCCAGCACTTTGGGAGGCCGAGGCGGGTGGATCGCCTGAGGTCGGGAGTTCGAGACCAGCCTGGCCAACATGGAGAAACCCCGTCTCTACTAAAAATACAAAATTAGCCAGGCGTGGTGGTGCATGCCTGTAATCCCAGCTACTCGGGAGGCTGAGGCAGGAGAATCACTTGAACCCAGGAGGTGGAGGTTGCATGAGCTGAGATCACGCCATTGCACTCCAGCCTGGGCAACAAGAGCAAAACTCCATCTCAAAAAATTAAAATTAAAATTAAAAAAAAAAAGAAAAATACCCTCCTTCCTGCATTTCGTCTCTGTGTTCCTGTCACCGGGTGCCCAAGAGTCTAAAAGACCAGCTTCCGTGGAGGGCAGCGGTCTGCGAGCCGGTCAGCACCCTCCAGAAGTGGCTAGAGCTTGAAGTCTGAGCTGGGGAGGGGTCAGACACCCAGTCAGCACAGAACGCTGGAGCCCCGCTCTGCAGAGCTGTGTTCCAGGGCAGGGACTGGGAACAAGAGGGACGAGGGCCAATGGAGGGTCAGCAGGTGGGTAGAACCTGGACCTTGGATGGAAGAGGCCCGCGTGTGCTAGATGCCGGCTGTATGGACTCCGGCTGGTAGCTGAACCTCTGGGTCTACTTCTTCCTCCACAAAATTACAGCCAAGAACACCTGCCCTACCTGCTTTACGAGGCTTTTCTGGGATTAGTCAGGATAGTGGGTGTGAATGGGCTCTGAGCCTGGTAAAGCTCTAGGCAGGCATGAGAGATGACTGCTCTCATCTTCATTATTTCAGCCTGAGGACCACATCTGCTGACTGCTGAGCTGTATCCGGCCATTAGCTCGAAGTTATGACTAATTGTTTTTTAATGAAAAAAACAAGGTTTGCTTAATGTTTGATGAGTCACGCAAGTGAGCATCTCTGTATCAGGACTCTCCCACTTTCAAAGACTTGGCCTGTCCATCTACCTGTGGCTGAGGGGAGAGGCCAGGTGAGACCCTCTCTCCTGAGGGCCCACCATGTGCTATACAAATCCCCTAGCAGAGCAGTAGGGTCAACAGGGTGGTCTCTGCGCTCAAGAAGCCCACGATGGACAGGAAAGGAAGATGTGCACAGGCTCTCTCTTGACACTAGGCAGGGCAGGGCACCCTGTAACAGGCACAGGCCAGGGGCTCTGGGGCCAACAGACCATGCCAACAACAAATGTTGAGCCGGGTCTTGGCCTCCCCTGCAGTTGTAATCAGATGGCGTATGTGTCACCAGGGAGGCCCTTTGCAGAGGGCAGATGCCATTTGGGCTGGGCCTTGGACAAGGAGAAGGATTCTGCCCCACAAGGAGGACATTCCAAACATGGGCCTTGGCATGAGCTAAGGTGCAGGAGGACAGGGCTGAGGACACCTAGGCACCTGCTCTCAAAGAGCTTTCAGTCCACTTCAGAAGAAGAGAAAAATAGGCCAGGCGTGGTGGCTCATGCCTGTAATCCCAGCACTTTGGGAGGCTGAGGCGGGCGGATCACCTGAGGTCAGGAGTTTGAGACCAGCCTGGCCAACATGGTGAAACCCCGTCTCTATTAAAAATACAAAAATTAGCTGGGTGTGGTGGCAGGCACCTGTAATCCCAGCTACTCAGGAGGCTGAGGCAGGAGAACTGCTTAAACCCAGGAGGCGGAGGTTGCAGTGAGCCAAGATCGCACCACTGCACTCTAGCCTGGGCAACAGAGGAAGACTCTCAAAAAGTCTCAAAAAAAAAAAAAGAAAAAGAAAAAGAAAAAAAGAAGAAGAAGAGAAAAGTAGAGAACATGAAAGCCACATACACATGATGTGGACGGGGTCAAGGCCCAGAGGCAGGCAGTGTGTGGCGGGAGGAAAAGCAGCGGCTGGTGGGCTGGAGTCCCCTACCCTGCCCTGAACTGGGTCTGGCCCACCATCTCTCCAGGCTGTTTTACAGCCTCCTGTCTCCCAGAACACCCTTCCTCCAATCCAGCGTCCACACTGTCAGCTACACTCCCAAGGCCCCAGTCCTCCAAACCCCACTGTCTACAGGAGACAGTCCAATCCCCTCAGGCGGGCATGCAAGACCCTTCACAGTCTGCCCAACACGTCCAGCCACAACTCCTATAAACATCCTTCCATTCACACTATGACCAAGTTACACCAATTTGTCACACTCTGGACATGACGATCACTTTAATGTAAACACATTTACCTAGCCTGACCCCACTGCCTAGTTGCTAAAGAGAGTGGGTTCGCTCTGGGGTTTGAATCCTAGCACTGTGATCTCAGGTAAGTTACTTAACTTTTTTGTTTATCTATCTCTCCATGTGTGAAATGGGGATAACACTACCCACCTTCTAGATTAAATGAGGCCTGGCATGGTGCCTCATGCCTATAATCCCAGCACTTTCCGAGGCCGAGGTGGGTGGATCACTTGAGGCCAGAAGTTCAAGACCAGCCTAGGCAACATGGCAAAACCCCGTCTCTACTAAAAGTACAAAAAATTAGCCAGGTGAGGTGGTGTACACCTGTAATCCCAGCTACTCGCGAGGCTGAGGCATGAGAATTGCTGGAACCCGGGAGGCTGAGGTTGTAGTAAGCTGAGATCGCACCACTGCACTCCAGCCTGGGTAACAGAGTGAGACTCCATTTAAAAAAAAAAAAAGATTCAATGAATTCAAACAAGTAGAGTTTAGATCAGATCCCAGTACACAGCAGGTACTCAAAAAGAAATGTTAACTGTCGTTAGTAACCATGGATGGAAACCCTTGGAGGTTTAGCTCAATGTGACTTGTGTAAAGAATGAATTTCTCCTCCCTCTGGGCATAGAGGTGCTGTCATTGTCTGTGTCTTTTTCTTTTCCTAGGGTCTGTTTATGTAACCAACTGTTGGTATTTTTCCATTGCCTCGTGATGGAAATTCAACGGGGGGCAGTCTCTGAGAGAACACCCAGCTACTACTGGGCGCTCAGAAAATGTGGCTGCCTGGGTCTGTGCTGGGTGCATGGGAGACGTCCCAGGTGCAGGCTACTGAGGCTGCTCTGCTGTGGTGACAACCCCCAAATCTCAGTGGCTTCAAACATCAAAGGTTTATTATTTATTTATTTATTTATTTATTTTAAAGACAGAATCTCGCTCTGTCTCCCAGACTGGAGTACAGTGGCATGATCTCAGCTCACTGCAACCTCCGCCTTCCAGGCTCAAGCGATTCTCCTGCCTCAGCCTCCCAAGTAGCTGAGATTACAGGTGCCGACCACCATGCCCGGCTAATTTTTTTGTATTTTTAGTAGAGACGGGGTTTCACCATGTTGGCCAGGCCGGTCTCGGAACTCCTGACCTCAAGTGATCCGCCCTCCTCGGCCTCCCGAAGTGCTGGGTTTACAGGTGTGAGGCACTGCACCAAAGGGCGCTTACTTCTCTGTCCCACTGCACGTCCCTCGCTGGTTGGTGAGAACTCTACACCACACTGTCCTCACTCAGGGACCCAGGCTGACAGAGCTACCACTCTCTGGGGCACTGCCAGTCACTTGTGGCAAAGGGAAGGGTGTGTGGCAAGTAGCTCACTGGCTCCTAAAGACCTCTGCCCAGGAGTGACAGGCATTCCCTGTGCACGTCCCACTGGCCGAAGCGGATCGGGGGGAAGGTGCAGCCCTGCCGTGGGCTCATAGCATCGGGATACTGACGGCCAGCAAAGGAGCCCCGCTCACCACTTCTTCAGAAGCATGCCGGCCTCAAACCACTTACTGGCACCTCCTGGGAAGGAGGGTGGGTTGTGCACGTGGTTGTGACTTCAGGCAGCTGCACTCATCCCCCACCTAGACGGAGGCTCCAGGCCTCAGGCAACGGAAGCAGCAGGAGCAGCCCTGTTTATTGACAAACTGGGACCCTCCAAGGCTCAGTCCTCAGAGGCAGAGTGAATGCATAGTCTGGAAAGAGGACAGAGAGTTCCGGGGCCACACCAGGCACAAGGCTGGGCTGCCTGAGCTTGCTGGATGTCCATCCCGTTCCTAACCTTACATTTGCAGACCCCATCCACTGCATGCTGGGCAGGCGAGACAGGCTGCCACTCTGAGATTAGACGGCCTGGCTCCTCCCAAAAGACAAAGGACGCTGGTAAACTCAGCCTACTCTTCTCTCTCATGCAGCCTTCCTCAGGGCTGCAATGACAGCATCTTAAACTCATTTGGCTGAAAGAAAAATTACAGTAGCAGGCCAGGCATGGTGGCTAACGCCTGTAATCCCAGCACTTTGGGAGGCTGAGGCAGGTGGATCACCTGAGGTCAGGAGTTCAAGACCAGGCCAACATGGTGAAACCCCATCTCTACTAAAAATACAAAAATTAGCCAGGTGTGGTAGCACATGCCTGTAATCTCAGCTACTCGGGAGGCTGAGGTACAAGAATTGCTTGAACCCGGGAGGTGGAGGTTGCAGTGGGCTGAGATCGCACCACTGCACTCCAGCCTGGGCGACAGAGGGAGACTCTGCCTAAAAGAAAAAAAAAATACAGTAGCCCCCTGTCATCCACAGGAGATATGTCCCAAGACCCTGCATAGATGCCTGAAACCAAGGCTAGTATTGGATCCTGCATATGCCATGTTTTTTCTACACATACATATCTGTAATATAATTTAATTTACAAATTAGGCACAGTAAGAGATTAACAACAACAATAAAGTAGAACAATTTTTTTTTTTTTTTTGAGGCAGAGTCTCGCTCTGTCACCCAGGCTAGAGTGCAGTGGTGCGATCTCAGCTCACTGCAACCTCTGCTTCCAGAGCTCAAGCGATTCTCCTGCCTCAGCCTCCTAAGTAGCTGGGATTACAGGCGCGTGCCATCATGCCCAGCTAACTTTTGTATTTCTAGTAGAGACGAGTTTTCACCACGTTGGCCAGGTTGGTTTCAAACTCCTGATGTCAGGTGATCCACCCGCCTCGGCCTCCCAAAGTGCTGGGATTACAGGTGTGAGCCCCCACACCCAGCCAAAGTAGAACGGTTTTAACAATACACTCTAATAAAAGTTATCACACACTGTGACCATACTTTTGCAGTTTGAGGTGTGACAGCAAAACTGGCATGAGGCTGGGGTCAGTGGCTCCCGCCTGCAATCCTAGTACTTTGGGAGGCCAAGGTAAGTGGATCACCTGAGGTCAGGAGTTCGAGACCAGCCTGGCCAACATGATGAAACTCCATCTCTACTAAAACTAAATTAGCCAGGCGTGGTGGCAGGAGCCTGTAATCTCAGCTACTCAGAAGGGTGAGGCAAGAGAATCGCTTGAACCCGGGAGGCAGAGGTTGCAGTGAGCCAAGATTGCACCACTGTACTCCAGCCTGGGTGACACAGTGAGACTATGTCTCAAAAAAAAAAAAAAAAAGGCAAAAAAAACTAGCACGAATTTCTTTTTCTTTAGAATTTCACAGATAGAAGATTCAGCATATGACTGTTTTCTTCCCATCTTTTCACTTAAAGGAAGCACCTTACGGTTTCTCTTTGGCATATCCGAACAGCCAGCATCACTACCAGCATCACTACTCTGGTGCTTTGGGGCCCTAATGAAGTAAAAAAAGACTGACCTGAACAGAAGCACTGTGATACCAGGACGGGCGATCTGACGACTAAGTGACTGACCGGCGGGGAGCATCTACGGCCTGGACGTGGGGAACACAGGGACGGTTTGCATCCCAGATGGCACGGCAGAGACTCTCCATCACACTGCTCAGAACAATGCACAAGGGAAAACTTGGGAACTGTTTGAAGAATTTTCCATTTAATATTGTCAGACCGTGGTTGACCGCAGATAACTGAACCCATGGAAAGTGACACCGTGGATAAGGGGGGACTACTGTGGACAGCTTTCCTGGGTGATTGGGAGACGTTTTTCTGGTAGAACACCAGGGCAAGGCTTTTCTGAGGATGATCTACGAATTCTCCCCAGAGCACTTCAACCTCCCAAACCAAGCTCTGCGGCTGTGCCATTGCACAGTCTTCCCACAGCAGAGAGGTGTGTTTTATTTAAGGCACAAGACTCTGGAAGAATGGGCTTTGTATTTATTTATGAGACAGAGTCTTGCTCTGTCACCCAGGCTGGAGTGCAATGGCGCGATCTCAGCTCACTGCAACCTCTGCCTCCCGAGTTCAAGTGATTTTCCTGCCTCAGCCTCCTGAGTAGCTGGGATTACAGGCATGCGCCACCACGCCCGGCTTGTATTTTTAGTAGAGACGGGGTATCCCCATGTTGGTCAGGCTGGTCTTGAACTCCTGACCTCAGGTGATTCACCCACTTGGGCTTCCCAAAGTGCTGGGATTACAGGCGGGAGCCAACATGCCCGGCCAAGAATGGGCTTTAGTATCTGACATTTGGCCAGAGTGATCAGGCATTTGCTCTCATCTTAGAGCTTCCAGATAATCACATAATTTGTAAAATGACATTTATAAAGAGACAATATGTTTCATACCTGTCATGGATACTGAGAGAGAGAGAGAGAGAGAGAGAGAGAATACGACTGCTTCCCAAACTCGTGGTTGCCAGCGTGACTCTGGGCCAGGCCTGCCTGAGCCTGGGCTCCTTTGGGAGTCTAGAAGTAGATGCGGCAATGGTGGCCCCCTCCTGGAAGCCACCCCACAGCCATCCCTACCAATCACAAGAAGGCTTACAACGCTCTGGGATCCCTACAGGGATGCCAACTCAAATGGATGTTTCTGCTGAGCCAGGAGCACACACTGGGCCAGCAAAGCCCACGCCAAGCGAAAGGAGAGCCTGGGCCTATGGGATACAGAGTTCTCTTTGAATAAACTACCTGCCCCATCTGGCAGGAGTCTGCCTGGCTGCATCCCTTCCCATGAGGGCTTCTGGAATGTGCAGGGGCAAAAACACTGCTGCACAGACATGCTCCTGGCAAGGGGTCCTGCTGGTGCCTTGTCAGGTTCTGGAGTGGTGTGAGCTGCACAGCATCGGTCCCCCTTGCTGCTCATGCCATCCGCCTCTCCTTCTCGCAACCTGCCTTCCAGGCAGTTGTGCTGTGAAGACCTGGGCGGCCTGGGTGCAGCAAGCTCTCCTGAGGCTGAGTACATGCAGCAAGAAGGCCGGCACACAGCCCCGCATCGTCTTCTGAGCCTGCCTGCTGCATCGCGCTTGGGTCAATCCCTGGCCCAGCTAAGCATCTGCAGCCAGGGGAGGATGAGACTAGGAAAGGGGCCTCCGGTCACATGGTTCAGTCCAGGAGACAAGAACTTTTCCAGAAGTCCATACGACCCGAGTGTGGGCTTCAGGTCTCCAAAAACGATAATCACAAGCTGGGCATGGGGCAGTTCTCTTTTCCCACTTGGGACCAAAGCCACCAGACTTTCTGGTGTCTGAAGTACACATTGATCTGCTCTCTGTCTACAGGTGAACCACAGATGAGCCTGCTGACCAGCAGGCTGGGCTACTGTGCTCTCATGCTCTCTCTCTCCCACATGGACATTTGTAAATAGCTCCCAGGTGGGTCAATTTCGGAAGGCACTCATTTGGGATCTGGCTGACGGCTCCTGGCTGCATTATTAGAGTATGTTCTGAAGGTAAGTTCTTGGCCGAGATGGGACCTCACAACAAGCACTGCTTGAAAGCTGTCCACTGAACGGTCCAGGGAAAGGATGACCCACAGATGGTGTCAGGAATGTTAATCAGGTAAAATTCACAGCAGTCGTTTGGCGAAAGAGTTTGCTGTCTAAGATTCCTTCTGGTTGAGGTGTCTCCGGAGCATGACCAGAGCTGCCCCGACAGCTGCATCCACATCCTGCCCAAAGGACATGGGCAAAGGGAAAGCCCTCTGCACCTCCTGCTTCAGCACGTCATTCCTGGACAGCGCACTCCCACTGCCCATCACCCTCTCCACGCCCCACTCCTGGAGCTGCTGAATCGGAAGCATGGAGTGCAGGTTCTGAACAATGCCTCGGCACAGAGCCCGGGTCACGTGCCCCAGGGAGAGGTCGGAGGAGGAGATTCTGGTCACTGAGGCCAGCTGGTCCGGCAGGTGCCTCTCCCCCAGCACTGTCGGGGTGATGGTCAGGTGGGTATCTCTCTGCTGCACAGCTGCCTGAATCATGCGTGAATACACAGTGGATTCTTCAACCTCCAGGCCTGCCAGAGACAGAGAAGATCTGTGTAAGCTCATGCGTCCCCCTCAGTGCAGGCTGACATGGCAGAGAATTCCCACAGGGTGGGAACAGCGCTACTTGCTGCTTCTCCTCCCGCTGCAGCTGGTGGTTCTGGGCTCAGGGACTGCTATAGCCAGGCTAGCTACACTCTGCCCTGGATCCCCGCCCGCTGTCTCAGTGCAGACCCCAGCCAGACATCAGGGTGAGGTCTCATTAAGTGCTGCCATGAGCCCTACCCCTAACACAGGCTTCTTAACCAAGGGGACCAAATGCATATACAGACTAATAACTATCATTGGCTGGGCGTGGTGGCTCACGCCTGTAATCCCAGCACTTTGGGAGGCCAAGGCGGGCAGATCACCTGAGGTCAGGAGTTCAAGACCAGCCTGGCCAACGTGGTGAAACCCTGTCTCTACTAAAAGTACAAAAATTAACCGGGCGTGGTGGCAGGCACCTGTAATCCCAGCTACTCAGGAGGCTGAGGCAGGAGAATCACTTGAACCTGGGAGGCAGAGGTTGCAGTGAGCGGAGCTTGCACCACTGCACTCCAGCCTGGGCAACAAGAGCAAGACTCCATCTAAAACAAACAAACAAACAAAACTATCATCATGGATGTCATTGGGGTCGTTAGCAGCATCAGAAATCCCAGGATCCAGGACCAATCACTGAATGGGCCACCCTCGTTATGTGCACAGGGCACCTGAAATCCAAGGAAGAAGGATGAGTTGACCATCCTACAACTTGCTTTTCAGTGTCAAGCCAGAATCCCGATCGGACTTTTCTCCCTGACACCACGTTAGCTCTGCGGGTTTTTTTTTTTTTTTTTTTTTTTCTGAGGCTCGCTGTGTCACCCAGGCTGGAGTGCAGTGGCACATATCCTATCGGCTCACTATAACCTCTGCCTCCCGGGTTCCAGCGATTCTCCTGCCTCAGCCTCCCAGGTAGCTGGGATTACAGGCCCACACCACCACACCTGGCTAATTGTGGTATTTTTAGTAGAGACAAGGTTTTACTACATTGGACAGGCTGGTCTCAAGCTCTCGACCTCAAGTGATCTACCTGCCTCAGCCTTCCAAAGTACTGGGGTTACAGGCATGAGCCACCATGCCCCGCCAGCTCTGCATTCTTAAAACAAACAAACGAAAAAAAAAAAAAGGCCAAGCGCGGTGGCTTACGCTGTAATCCCAGCACTTTGGGAGGTCAAGACAGGCGGATCACTTGAAGTCAGGAGTTCCAGACCAGCCTGGACAACATGGTAAAACCCTGTCTCTACTAAAAATACAAAAATTAGCCAGGTATGGCAGTGTGTGCCTGTAGTCCCAGCTACTTGGGATGCTGAGGCATGAGAAACGCTTGAACCCAGAAGGCAGAGCTTGCAGTGAGCTGAGATGGTGCCACTGCACTCCAGTCTGGGTGACAGTGCGAGACTCAGTCTTAAAAAAAAAAAAAAAAAGCCTTTGGTTTCGATACACTTTGACCTTAGAATCACTTTTGATCTATAACCTCGCATGACCTGAGGGAAAGCAAACATCACCTTGATAAGAAGAAAGTTATCAACATCAGGGTTTCTTGAGAGCACTGTGGGCCCCATCTCCAGACTTTCTGATTTAACTGGTGTGGGTTGCAGGCTGCGGGCTGGAATTTGTAAACACTTGCAGTTGATTCTTATACACAGCCACGCTGGGGAGCCCCCGACCTAGACCTAGGGCTTCTCCAGCCTAGGGCTTCTCCAACCTGAACATACAGATGAGTCACTCAGGGATCTTTTTTTTTTTTTTTTGAGACGGAGTCTTGCTCTGTCACACAGGCTGGAGTGCAGTGGCGCGATCTCGGCTCACTGCAACCTCTGCCTCCCAGGTTCAAGCAATTCTTCTGCCTCAGCCTCCCGAGTAGCTGGGACTACAGGTGCATGCCACCACTCCAGGCTAATTTTTGTATTTTTAGTAGAGACGGTGTTTCACCATATTGGCCAGGCTGGTCTGGAACTCCTGACTTCGTGATCCGCCCACCTCGGCCTCCCAAAGTGCTGGGATTACAGGTGTGAGCCACCACGCCCAGCCAGGGATCTTTTTAACACATAGCTTGGACTCAGATTGCCTAGGGCTGACCCTAACATTCTGCATTTGTTAAAAGCTCCCAGAGGAAACTGTACTCCAGGCCAGTAGACCAGGCTTTCTGAGGAGACAGTTCTAGAGCAGTGCTTATTAACACTTCAGGCCTCAGAATCACCTGAGGAACTTTTATAAAACTCATGCTCAAGGCCCACACCCCAGGTCCAATAAATCAGCATTTCTGGGCGTGGGACCAGGATGCAACGATGTTTTTAAACTCCACAGTATTTCCAGGGTGTGGTCAGTGCCAAGACCCACCAATCTAGAGAGTCACTGAGGAGTCACGCCATGGGAATGTTTAACCTCTGCAAATGCACAGGTGCAGTGGTATTATTTCAGCTCACTGCAACCTCTGCATCTCGGGTTCAAGTGACTCTCCTGCCTCAGCCTCCCGAGTAGCTGGAATTACAAGCGTGTGCCACCACACCTGGCTAACTTTTGTATTTTTAGTAGAGACAGGGTTTCACTATATTGGCCAGGCTGGTCTCGAACTCCTGACCTCAGGTGATCCGCCCGCCTCAGCCTCCCAAAGTGCTGGGATTACAGGCATGAGCCACCGCGCCTGGCTATTTTATTTTTTAAATCATGTGCTTATCTTTCTTTAGTAAAAGTTCAGGAAAAAAAGTTTTCTTTTTTTTTTACAGACAGGGTCTTGCTATGTTGCCCAAGCTGGACTTGAACAACTCTGAGCTCAAGCAATCCTCCCGCCTCGGCCTCCTGAGTAGCTGGGATTACAGCCACGTGCCACCATGCACAGCGCCAAAAAAGGTTGGAAGGGAAGGTTAAAACATACTCTTCCTCCTCTCTGGGAAATACTTGGGCCATGACCCAAGCTCTGGGGTACCTGAAGGAAGGTGCATACCAGCTGGAGGCCTGGAAGAGAGGCCTGGCCTCTAGCAGAGTGCCTGCGTCCTCAGCTCCCCCAGTCTATTTAGTGAGGACGAATGGAGGCGAAAGCTGCTATGAGCTGTTGAGTTAATTCTAACCCAAGGACTTAAGACCACAAGACACTGGAGATGGGAAAACAAAGAAGGGAAGGGACTTGCCAAGGCCAAATAATGACTCAGGGACACAGCTGGGAACCAAAGTCACTCTCCTGGGTTCCACCCCGCACCGTGCTTCTTTAAGAAATGCCTACATCAGGGCGAGCGCAGTGGCTCACGCCTGTAATCCCAGCACTTTTGGAGGCCGAGGCAGGTGGATCACAAGGTCAGGAGATTGAGACCATCCTGGCTAACACGGTGAAACCCCACCTCTACTAAAAATACAAAAAAATTAGCTGGGTGTGGTGGCGGGTGCCTGTAGTCCCAGCTACTTGGGAGGCTGAGGCAGGAGAATGGCGTGAACCTGGGAGGCGGAGATTGCAGTGAGCCGAGATCGCACTACTGCACTCCAGCCTGGGCAACAGAGCGAGACTCCATCTCAAAAAAGAAAAGAAAAGAAAAGAAAAGAAATGCCTACATCAGGCCAGGCACAGTGGCTCATGCCTATAATCCCAGCACTTTGGGAGGCCGAGGCGGGTGGATCACCTGAGGTCAGGAGTTCAAGACCAGCCTGGCCAACATGGCAAAACCCCATCTCTAGTAAAAAGACAAAAATTTGCCAGGCGTGGTGGCGCATGCCTGTAATCCCAGCTACTCGGAAGGCTGAGGCAGGAGAATCCCTTGAACCTGGGAGGCGGAGTTTGCAGTGAGCCGAGATCGCGCCACTGCACTCCAGCCTGGGTGACAGAGCGAGACTCCGTCTCAAAAAAAAAAAAAAAGAAGAAGAAGAAGAAGAAAAGCCTGCATCGCACTTCCTATGGCCAGGCTTCTCAGGATATAAGTGCATTGTAAGTGAAATACGCACCATTGTAAGTCAAGGAGCAACTGTCCATGGAGAGCAGAGAAAACTTCATAAATTCTACCCCAAGGATAAGAGAAAGGAGCAGGAGGAGAAAAGAGGGAGCAGGGAGGGCGGGGGAAAGCTGGGGAGACTGTTAGGAAGGTTCACAGTCAAGGTTGGGGGAAGGGTGCCTGACCCAAAGAAAAGAGTAGGTGATGGCAGCTTGGAGGACAAGAAGAAAAGAGGCTGCAAGCTCAGATCCCAAAGGATGGGAGAAATATGCCAGGACCTGGCAGGGTCTGAGACCTCAATGTGGACGCTGAAACCGCACATGAAGCTCCGTGAAGCTCCGAGACCCTGCCGGGTAGAAAGGACAGGCAGAGAACACAGCGCTGTGTGGGCCACACCTTACCTAGATCTGCCATCCACTGAACCAGCATGTGGACGAACGTGGCCAGCACATTGCCCCCGTTGAGTGACGCGGCCACCCCCAGGTAGGTCCTGTTGAAGTATGGGAAGTAGGCGACTGGGGCCGTAGGGTCTGGAGTCTGTGCAGGCTGGAATCCTGAAGGCATGGAGGCTGCCAGCTGAACCGAGGTGCTGATGTTGAGAACTGGGGTCCGAAGAGAGCAGAGCTTAGGCCTGTCGGGCTAACTCAGAGGTCACAAGTCACAGTTTGGCAGTGAGAGGGGGTGGCCTGTCGGGTTAACTCAGAGGTCACAAGTCACAGTTTGGCAGTGAGAGGGGGTGGCCTGTCAGGCTAACTCAGAGGTCACAAGTCACAGTTTGGCAGTGAGAGGGGGTGGCCTGTCGGGCTAACTCAGAGGTCACAAGTCACAATTTGGCACTGAGAGAGGGTGGGGTTTTAAAAATATGTCCAGGATAGTTAGAAGGGCAAGGTGTTGAAGAGATGTTGATCAAAGGAATTTTTTTTTTTTTTTTTTTTTTGAGACAGAGTCTCGCTCTGTCACCCAGGCTGGAGTGCAATGGTGCGATCTTGGCTCACTACAACCTCCACCTCCCAGGTTCAAGCAATTCTCTGCCTCAACCTCTCAAGTAGCTGCGATTACAGGTACCCACTACCACGCCTGGCTAATTTTTTTATTTTTAGTAGAGATGGGGTTTCACCATCTTGGCCAGGATGGTCTCGAACTCCTGACCTCATGATCCACCCACCTCGGCCTCCCAAAGTGTTCGGATTACAGGTGTGAGCCACCGTGCCCGGCCGATACTCCTCCTTTCAAGAGGTAGAACCTGATTCCCCTCCACGTGAGAGTGGGCTGGACTTAGTGACTCACTTCTAGTGAACAAAATAAAGCACAAGAGACAGTGTGTGCCTTCAGAGGCTAAGTCATAAAAGGCACTGCGACTCCTATCTCGGTCACGCTGTCTTGTGGATCACTTGCTCTCGGGGAAGGCAGGTGCCACGTCGTGAGCAGCCCTGTGGAGAACCTCACGTGCCAGGGAACTGAGGCCTTCTACCAACAGCATCAAGCGTGGGCTCAGAGGCAGATCCTCCAGGCTCAATCAAGCCTTTGGAAGACTGCAGCTCCAGAGTGAATGCAACCTCACGAGAGACCTTGAGCCAGGACATCCCACCCCACTCAGAATCCTGACCCTCAGAAACTGTCCAAAATAATAAATGTCTGTTGTTTTAGGCTACTATGTATTAGGGTAATTTGTTACACAGCAAAAGAAAACTATGACAGGGTAAGACCTCAGACCAAGGGCTTTAGTCTCTGAGGAGGTTTCATTCATTGGCAGTGAATACTACTCTTGCTCATTTCCAAAGTATTCTTTTTGTTGTTGCTTTTGTTTTTGCTTTTGTTTTTCAGACAGAGTTTTGCTCTGTCACCCAGTCTGGAGTGCAATGGCGCGATCTTCGCTCATGCAACCTCTGCCTCCCAGGTTCAAGTGACTCTCCTGCCTCAGCCTCCCAAGTAGCTGGGATTACAGGCATGCGCCACCACGCCCAGCTAATTTTTTGTATTTTTATTAGAGGTGGGGTTTCACCATGTTGGCCAGGCTGGTCTCGAACTCCTGACCTCGTGATCCACCTGCCTCGGCCTCCCAAAGTGCTGGGATTACAGGTGCCCGCCACTGTGCCCAGCTAATTTTTATATTTTTAGTAGAGATGGGGTTTCACCATGTTGGCCAGGCTGGTCTCGAACTCCTGGCCTCAAGTGATCTGCCCACCTCAGCCTCCCAAAGTGCTGGGATTACAGGTGTGAGCCAATGCACCCGGCCAAGTTTTTCTTTAATCAGATCTGGTGTCGTAAGTGGGATCTGAACCCACCCACCTCACGATGACCTCTGGGAGCAACAAGCAAACGGGCATAAGTACCCACTGAGCCTTGGCACTCACTGCTTCCTGCTGCACATTGGGAGGCCTTCTCCAGTAAGCCCTCTTGGACATATGAACTCCACAACTTGTGTTGAGTTCACTGAGTTATTTGGGCATTTTTAAATCTGGACTGGGTTTGGAAGCCATGACAGAAACTGGAACAGGTGCTGAAGGGAAGCTTCAGGTGTCCAACTGGGTCAGACAGAAACTAAATTGGGTTTAGTAAAAGACCTCCAGTAGAAAAGGTTCCAGGAAGACAGAAAATAATGGGTTTACTTAAATTCAGGGAGTCTGAGACTCCATCTCAGAACATTTGCTTTTCTAGATAAATGAGTGAATCTTACCAAAAATAATTTAGAATTTTGGTGGCCACATAAGGAAGTTTTAACCTAAACAAACAAACAAACAATTCCAAACACCTCAGAAACAATGGGATATATTTTTGATTGGCAGGTAAAAGTTTCTGACCTCTCTTTCTTTGTACCTTCCTCTCCCTACACTGAATCTGCTGACATTTTTGCCTGTTTACCTCCTACCCCAAAGTCAAAAAAAAATTAAAAAGGAGAACTAGATAACTGTTTATAAAAGTCAGGCTCTCAGATTAACCAGATCTGCTTTTTAAGCATTCTTATGCCTTCGTCAAAATCTTGAGCTCAGAGCAATAATGAAAGATATCCCTGTTTGGCATAAAAAATGCTTTGTCTGCCCTATCAAAATTGTTTTGTCTTGCTTCTGCAAATACTTTATGAAAATTTCCCCTCTTGCCTCTCCTGGCAGAGTGCTAGGAGTCTGGTGCTACCATGATTCACAAATCACTGCATCTTCAAATAAACTCTTTGTTTGTTTGTTTGTTTTTGAGACAGAGTCTCACTCTGTTGCCCAGGCTGGAGTGCACTGGCGCGATCTCAGCTCACAGCAACTTCTGCCTCCTGGATTCAAGCAATTCTCTGCCTCAGCCTCCCGAGTAGCTGGGATTACAGGTGCCCACCACCACACCTGGCTAATTTTTTGTATTTTTAGTAGAGATGGGTTTTCACCATCTTGGCCAAGCTGGTCTTGAACTCCTGACCTCATGATCCACCCACCTCAGCCTCCCAAAGTGCGGGGATTACAGGTGTAAGCCACCGCACCCAGCCAAATAAACTTTTTAAAATTTAAATGTACTTCTTCTATCCAACATTCAATCCTTTTTTAGCTATGTGTATATACCACATTATAAAAATTCATTCATGGCTGGGCACAGTGGCTCACGCCTGTAATCCCAGCACTTTAGGAGGCCGAGGCAGGTGGATCACAAGGTCAAGAGATCGAGACCATCCTGGCCAACATGGTGAAACCCTGTCTCTACTAAAAATACAAAAATTAGCTGGGTGTGGTGGCGTGCGCCTGTAGTCTCAGCTACTTGGGAGACTGAGGCAGGAGAATCACTTGAACTCAGGAGGCGGAGGTTGCAGTGAGCTGAGATTGTGCCACTGCACTCCAGCCTGGGTGAGAGAACAAGACTCCATCTCAAAAAAAAAAAAAATTCATTCATTAGTTGACAGACATTTAGATGGTTTATACTTTTTGGCTATTATAAGTAATGCTGCTGTGAACATCTGTGTACAACTTTTTGTGTGGATATCATTTGTTTTCAGTTCTCCTGGGTGTATTTCTAGGAGCAGAATTGCTGGGGCCTGTGGTAACTCCACGTTTAACATTTGAGGAACTACCAGCTGTTTTCCAAAGAGGCCGTACCTTTTTACAATCCCACTAGCATGTTCTCACTTTTTTTTTTTCAAGTTTAATCATTTTGTATATAAGCACTGATTTTACAAAACATAGTATATAAAGGCAAACTAAATTTACATAACTTAAATTGTTATTTTTTTTTCTGCCTCTAGAGATGATGCCTTAAGAACAACTCAATTTGTTCACGTAAATTGCCTTCAGCCTACGTTGCAGCTAAGATGTGTGTAAGATTTTACATGTATTTTGGAAGAAATCACACAGAAGAAGCTGCTTTTTCAATAAACGTGGCCAGCTTCACATCTCTTTTGATCAGTCCACCACAGTTACGTGAGGTGAGAGTTATCTGGACCTTGTTTTATACATTGAACCATTCCGGGTGATGATTCATCTTCTCTGCTTGTAGGGCAACTCGGGACATAAAGCCAAATGCCTGATTAAAAATTTGGACGGAGAGGCCGGGCACGATGGCTCACACCTGTAATCCCAGCACTTTGGGAGGCCAAGGCAGGCAGATCACAAGGTGAAGAGATTGAGACCATCCTGGCCAACATGGTGAAACCCCGTGTCTACTAAAAATGCAAACATTAACCAGCCATGGTGGTGTGCGCCTGTAGTCCCATCTACTCGGGAGGACAAGGCAGGAGAATCGCTTGAACCCCAGAGGCAGAGATTGCAGTGAGCCGAGATCACACCACTGCACTCCAGCCTGGGCGACAGAGTGAGACTCCATCTCAAAAAAAAAAAAAAAATTTGGAAGAAGAATGATTTGTAGATGGCATCTCTCTCTCACTTAATTCTGACCATCCTGCTGCTTTAAGATTGAGTATAGCTTGGTTCCTCTCCTCTGCTGTCTACCTGTGAGCACCTGACAACATGGCCACGAGCCCTGGGCTCCGGCCTCCCAGCGCCGCCAAGCGCCATATCGTCCCACGTTCTCACGTTTTTAAATGGTTGAAAAAAAATTAAAAGAAGAATTTTTCATGACACATGAAAATTATGTGGCATTCCCATTTCAGTGTCTATGAACAATGTTTTATTGGAACACAGCTACACCCGCTCATTTACATATCGTCTATGGCTGCTTTTGAATTCCTACAGCACAGCTGAGCAGTTACAACAGAGACGGCATGATCCGCAAAGCCGAAAATATTTACAGAAAATATTTTCTGCCCTTTAGAGTAAAAGAGCCAATCCCTGCCCTAGACACAGCTGCCTCTACCTCACCATGATTCCCTTACTATGAATACAGAAAATATTCTACACTTCTTTTTTTTTTTTTGAGACAGAGTCTTGCTCTGTCGCCCAGGCCGGAGTGCAGTGGCACGATCTCGGCTCACTGCAAGCTCTGCCTTCCGGGTTCACACCATTCTCCTGCCTCAGCCTCCCAAGTAGCTGGGACTACAGGCGCCCATCACTATGCCTGGCTAATTTTTTCTATTTTTTTTTTTAATACAGATGGGGTTTCACCGTGTTAGCCAGGATGGTCTCGATCTCCTGACCTCGTGATCCACCTGCCTTGGCCTCCCAAAGTGCTGGGATTACAGGCATGAGCCACTGCGCCCGGCCGTTTTGTTTTGTTTTGAGATGGAGTCTCGCTCTGTCGTCAGGCTGGAGTGCAGTGATGTGATCTCAGCTCACTGAAACCTCCGCCTCCCGGGTTCAAGCGATTCTCTGCCTCAGCCTCCTGAGTAGCTGGGATTACAGGCACCCACCACCACACCTGGCTAATTTTGGTATTTTTAGTAGAGACAGGGTTTCACCATCTTGGCCAGGCTGGTCTTGAACTCCTGACCTCGTGATCCGCCTGCCTCGGCCTCCCAAAGTGCTGGGATTACAGGCGTGAGCCACCGCGCCCAGCCTATCCTGCACTTCTAATCAGATCTGACATCACTTCCAACACAGTAACCAAAACCCTCATCAGCTCATCTGTTTTCTTGGGCCCGGAGTCACATAGAAACCAGAAAGCTAGAAAGAGCCGTTTCTCTCACCCAGCCCCAGAGGTGGTCAGCACAGATGGTTGGTGCTCAGGGACAGAACTTGCCCTGCTGGCCTGTAAGCTCCCTCAATAGAGGATTTTACCTGCAAGGACAAGGGTGCTTTTCATCTTTACAGAATAATGATCTCCAGCAGGATGCCAAGACTGCTAAGCTCTGTGTGCCCTGCAGACTCGCACAGAGCTGGTGCTTATGAGGCAGGCGACAGTGTAAGTCTGAGGACAGAACAAAAGAAAAACTTACCTGCATCTGTCCTCTGGGCCATGCAGGAATAGACAGAGGCCTGTAAATCACCCAAGGCCACTCCCACCTGCGTCCCCTTTGGGATTTCAAACCACATGTGGGAAGTTCTGCCCGCCACACTGCCAGGCTCGGCGATGTCTGGGAGCAGGTGGACAGGAAAACCCGAGCTCCTCAGTCTGTAAAACAGAAGTGGACACCCACATGGACCCACAGTTAGGTTTCGGGAATTTAAGGGATCCTTCCTTCCTTCCTCCCTTCCTTCTCTCCATTCCTCCCTCCCTTCTTCCTTTCCTTTCCTCCCTCCCTCCCTTCTCTTTACTCCTTCCCTCTTTCCCTCCCTTCCTTTCCTCCTTCTCTCCATTCCTTCCCTCCCTCCCTCCCTCCCTTCCTTCCTTCCTTCCTTCTTTCTTTCTTTTTTACTTATTTATTTTTTTGAGATGGAGTCTTGCTCTGTTGCCCAGGCTGGAGTGCAGTGGCACCATCTCAGCTCACTGCAACCTCCACCTCCCAGGTTCAAGCAATTCTCCTGCCTCAGCCTCCCTAATAGCTGGGATTACAGGCGCACACCACCATGCCCAGCTAATTTTTGTATTTTTAGTAGAGACGGGGTTTCGCCATCTTGGCCAGGCTGGTCTCGAACTCCTGACCTCACATCGTTCACCCGCTTCAGCCTCCCAAAGTGCTGGGATTACAGGCGCGACCCACCACACCCGGCTCCTTCTTTCTTTTTTTGAGACAGGGTCTAGCTCTGTTACCCAGGCTGGAGTGGAGTGGTGTGATCACTGCTCACTGTAACCTCAACCTCCCAGGCTCAAGCAATTCTCCCACCTCAGCCTCCCAAGCAGCTGGGATTACAGGCCTGCACCACCACACCCAGCTGCTTTCCTTTTTTGTTGTTGTTTGTTTGTTTCCAGGAAACTCTGCATGGGAAAGTGCTATAGGACACACATGGCCGAAGTGGGGATAGAATTCAGTGCCCTCACAGGCAGCTTCTCTGGCTTTTTTAAAACCATGAGCTTAGGCTTTGTCAATAGAGTACACTGGCTTTCATAAGCTTAGGATTCACCTTCCAGGAAAGAAAACAAACAACATAGGCAGCCGTGATCAAGTCCAGCCTCCCATGTTTGAAGGGAGCTCAAAAACTCTGCAAAGGGAGGCAGCCGGAGGTTCGGCGCCATTATGGTTGGTGAGCACAGCCCAAACCAAAGTCAAATGCAGCAGGCTCCTGAATATCAAACGTGTTAGTCACTCAGGGTTAGTGAATGGGAAGCTGTCAACTTCACACAACATGCTGGAAAGTCCTTTACCTGAACTACCAGGTGCTTTTTGTTTTATTTCAGAGCTCAGAATTTGGGCCCTGAAGGAAGTGAACTTACAGGGCACTGGACTTCTGTACCTGAAAAGGCAAATGATTGTTCAAAAAGAACTTAAAAGGCATCCTTCAAGCCTACTATCTCTAGTTCTTTTTTCTTTTTTTTTTTTTTTGAGACAAGAGTCTCGCTCTGTCCCCCAGGCTGGAGTGCCGTGGTGCAATCTCGGCTCACCGCAACCTCCGCCTCCCAGGTTCAAGTGATTCTCCTGCCTCAGCCTCCAGAGTAGCTGGGATTACAGGCGCACTCCACCACGCCCAGCTAATTTTTGTATTTTTAGTAGAGATGGGGTTTCGCCATGTTGCCCAGGCTGGTCTCGAACTCCTGACCTCAGGTGATTCACCCGCCTCAGCCTCCCAAAGTGCTGGGATTACAGGCATGAGCCACCGCGCCTGGCTCTCTAAGTTTAAGTATTAAAGAGTGAAAGCTGTACTCTGAAACCTACAGACTGGGCTCATGGTCACAGAGAAGGGAGAGCCCACCTGGGGTCTGGGCGGCTGTGGAGGAGCAGGACAGCATGGCTGAGGCCCCTACCCAAGGGCTCAGGGCTGTGCTTACACTGGGCCCATCCATGCCCCGTGTCTGGGACAGGCCAGGGGCACTGGACCCTGATCCTGGCCTCTGGGAACCCTCCACCACTCCCAGATGGGAAAGCACCCACTGAAGCACTGGCTCCGGGGTTGCCCTTCAGATTGGAGCAGGAGGAACAGCCTGCAAGGATGTGATACTCACGTCTCTACGTTCCAGCTTTGGCTCTGCGTGTTGAAATAGCCCCAGCTGGCAGCATTCTGGTCGGACATCAGAGGTCTTGGCAAGCCACACAGCATGGCAACCACATAGTCGTGGATGGTACCGGCTGCGTCGTAGGACTTCAGGAACTCTGGGCTGTTTTTCATACCAAAAACAACCAACACGGTATAACATGAACTCGGAAGCATGTGCCGCACCTAGCTGCAGGCAGCAGGGACCAGCTGTGCCATGGCCAGGTGGCAGCCACAACCGCATATACTATGGCTCAAGTCCAGCTGGGTCCCTGGGATTAGGACCTCCCAGCTGCCCCAAGCAAAGCCAGCCTAAGTCAGCCCCAGGGGAAGGGCCTGAGAGGAGGAAGTGTCAAGCCTGGAAAAGCAGACGTCAGCCTCCTCAGCAGCCTCGCAGGCCTGAACACACTGCGAACTCTCCCCGTGACCCTCGGCAAGTCACTTGCCCTCTCTGTTCCCTCCTTTCCCTATGTGGGTGGGAACTGGATAACCAATAGAGAGCCCTCTGCAAAAGGACGTGGTTCTGGACCCAATCGAGGTCCAGGCCATGCTGCATCCTGTCCTGCCAGGACACACTCACTGCGGCACAGCCCAGCAGGCGGGGTGATGCTGACGCAGCCCCGGCCTATTCTCATTCTCCCGGAAACCCAGCACCCGAGTGAAAGTGCAGTTGCCCGTACCGATATTTCAAAAGCCAGAAGATGGTTGCACAGCCGAAGCCCGTGGCCACACTGAGATGAGACTTCGGCTGGGGCAGAGAGGCCAGGAATTCGCTGCTACATCGGCCATCCTGCCACGTGACCAGGTGGCTAACAGCTCGGGGCTCGAACACCGGGGTAATCCCTCCCTCTGTCCATTCACAGCCTGGAACAAAAGAGATGACCAAAAATGAAGAAAAGAGCAAATGACTAGGCATGGCGCGGCCTTGATACTACTCTGCTGGTGAGTGACAAAATATGTGCGAATCGTCCCATGATAAAGCCTGGCACACCTATGGGTCCTGATAGCACTGGCTTTAGTACTTGGCTCTACCACATAATGACTGTGGGACCCTGGGCACGTCACATACTCCCTCCATTTGCCCCACTTCTCTGTTTGTTTTTATTCTTTTTTGAAGTTGATATCATATCTCCCCACATCTCAGAAGATGTTTGGCACAATCTCAAGTCCCCTGGTCTCTGTCCCTCCAACCCTCATCATGACATTATCTAGGCTTACTGCTACTTGATTACCAGTAAATTTTCTCTTTTCCTTAGTTCTTAGCTGATTGCGTTTTATTTTATTTTATTTTATTTTAATTTTTTCAGACAGAGTCTCATTGTGTCCCCCAGGTTGGAATGCAGTGGCATGATCCCGGCTCACTGCAACCTCCATCTCCCAGGTTCAAGCGATTCTCCTGCTTCAGCCTCCCGAGTAGCTGAGACTACAGGCCCACGCCACCACGCCCAGCTAATTTTTTGGACTTTCAGTAGAGACAGGGTTTCATCATGCTGCCCAGGCTGGTCTCGAACTCCTGAGCTCAGGCAATCCACCCACCTCAGCCTCCCAAAGTGCTAGGATTACAGGCATGAGCCACCGCACCTGGCCCTGATTGATTTTTAGACATCCAAATTTACTTTAAAATCATCTGACCGTCAGATTTTTTTTCATTTGTGCCTTGTGACATCCTCTGGATTTTTCTCTGCCCTTATTCAGTGATTTCTCCCAAGGCCAATTTCAGTGTCAGTCTTTCCAGGCAGTGTCTGAAGGCCCAGATGCCACCAAATATTTCTCATGTTCCCATCTTTAAATGCCAGTTTGATTAGTTATAATAGTCTGGTTCTAAGTTCCTTCCCTTCAATGCTTAAAAGCACTTTTTGTGGTCGATTGTTGCAAATTCTTCACTACTCCTCCCATTAAGAGGTGGCATCTGAATCCTCTTTCCTTGAATATAGAATCACCTTGGTGACGTGCTTGACCAGGAGAATGTGGAGGCAGTCACATCTTGGGACTCCCAAGGCTAGGTCATAAGAAGTACTGCAGCTCCCGCCCAAGCCTCTTACACCAGTCTCTCTGGGGGAATCAGCCTTCAGGTAAGAAGTGCGACTACGCCGAGGCCGCCATGCTGAGGAGACCACGGGCAAAGAGCAGCCGGCAGACCGTTTCCAGGTGAGCCCAGCCTCCAGCCTTCCCACCAAGGTACCAGGCATTGAGTAAAGCCACCGTGACCCCCTGGACCAGTCTGTCCACCAGTTGAACACTAACAAGCAACCTCCACCACCACCATGCAGAAGCAGCAGTGGGCTGAGCCCTGCCCAACCCCTGACCCAAAAAATCATGACAGATGATAAATGCTTGTTGCTTTCAGTCACTAGGTTGGAGGTAGTTTGTTGTGCCGCAATAGGTCATCAAAATACTACTCCTGGTCAGGCACGGTGGCTCACGCCTATAATCCCAGCACTTCGGGAGGCCAAGGTGGGCGGATCACCTGAGGTGAGGAGTTCGAGACCAGCCTGGACAACATGGCGAAACCCCATCTCTACAAAAAATACAAAAATTAGCCAGGTGTGGTAGCGGGTGCCTGTAATCCCAGCTACTCCGGAGGCTGAGGCAGGAGAATCGCTTGAACCCAGTAGGCGGAGGTTGCAGTGAGCTGAGATCGCACCACTGCACTCCAGCCTGGGCAACAGAGTGAGGCTCCATCTCAGAAAAACAAAACAAACAAAAAAATGCTACTCCATTGTCTTTTCACACAGAATGCTGCTGTTGAAAAAAATCTAATGTCAATCTGATCCTTATTCTTTCATATGGGATCTGATCTTTTGCTCTGTAAGCTTTTGGAATTCTGTCTTTGAAATCCTTAAAAGTTCACTAGAATATATCTAGCTGGGGGTTGTCTTTATCTCCTCTTTGACATTCTATGGGCCCTTTCAGGCTGGGGTGTTCTATCTTATGTTGTCAATTATAGGAAATTTTTCTCCATTATTTCTTCAAAGATTTCCTCCTCTCCATTTTTATTTTTCCCTTTCTGGTCTCTTATGATTTAGATGCTAGTGCTTCTGTTTGTATCCTCAATACCTCTTAGCTCATCGGGCGCAGTGGCTCACACCTGTAATCCCAGCACTTTGGGAGTATGAGGCGGGTGGATCACTTGAGGTCAGGAGTTCAAGGCCAGCCTGGCCAACATGGTGAAACCCCTTCTCTGCTAAAAATACCGAAAAAAAAATTAGCCGGGCGTGATGGCGGGTACCTGTAGTCCCAGCTACTCTGGAGGCTGAGGCAGGAGAATGGCGTGAACCTGGGAGGCAGAGCTTGCAGTGAGCAGAGATTGCGCCACTGCACTCCAGCTTGGGCAACACAGCAAGACTCCATCTCAAAAAAAAAAAAAAAAAAAATAGCCAGGCATGGTGGCGGGTGCCTGTAGTAACAGTTACTTGGGAGGGGAAATTTAGGCAGGAGAATCACTTGAATCTGGGAGGCAGAGGTTGCAGTGAGCCCAGATCGCTCCATTGTACTCCAGCCTGGGTGACAAGAGCAAGACTCCATCTCAAAAAAAATAAAAAATAAAAAAAATACCAGTTTTCCACTCCCTTTGCCAACTCTCGACATTACGGAACATTTTGATTTCTTACCATCCAATGGGTGGAAAATGATGCTTTGTTGTTTTCATCCGCACAGCTCTAATGACTAACAATGCTGAACATCTTTCCAGATGTTTATCAGCCATTGGTATTTCCTCTTCCAGGAGTAACCTATTGGTATCCTTCACCCGTTTTTCCACAGAGCTGCTTGTTCTCTCTTAGTTACTGGTTCTTTACACGTGCTGACCTGTCCTTTGTCCACTATTCACTACCAGATATTTTCTCCCTGTCTGCTGCTCGCCTTTTAGCTTTCTTTGATGATCCTGGTTGCTCTTCTGCGTTTACTGAGCCTGAAAATGGAGTTTGGAAACAGGCGTAACCACAGGCCTTTCAGAAGACACTAATCACTCCGTCTCCTCCCCTCCAGCTCGCTCCGGGTGCCCTCACTGAAGCACTTAGCTCTCTGCTCAAGTTACTCCTGCCCATCTGTGTTGACTGTGTTTTGGAAGGTAGAGGCTGCATTCCTTCATTTCTATCTCTCCCCCAGGGCCTAGCAAAGCGTTTTATAGGTTGTAGGTAGGAAAACCAAAGTGAATTAAGGCTGCCATTAAAATCGACAAGACTGGATCCCAAATGTGATTTCACTTGACTTCACTAAGCAGGTATCACCATCACCACACTGTGGCTTTCCTCCTTCCCAGAAACAGAAAACAATCCCAGAAGGCATGTGGGCTGGCTCAATAAAATATTAAGCAGCTCTTTCCAACGATGTGGCTGATGGTTTGTGTGGTTGTTAGAGAGCCCAGGAGACAGGCAGAAAGGAAGGCATGTGACCGGATCACAATCATCAGCTCTCTGCTGTCCTCTTTGGGAAGGGTTTTAGTATTAAAAGGACATTTATTCTCATTAATGCAAAATTAAGGAGTTTTAAAAGCTTTTACAACCTAGACTCCCTCTGAGAGGTTAGCCTTGACACCCTAATCGCCTTCTGCTCCCGCCACTGCTCGGTGCCAAGCAGCTCCCACGGCCCCGGCGGGTCTGATGATAGCCGGACAGGAGGGAGGAAGGGGAGGAGGAAGAGCCTGCATCAGCTCCTACGATTGCCCAGCCCCATCCTGGGAGTGATTAAACGGTGCATCACCAAATGCCAGTCCCACTGACAGGCAGGTCACCGTGCACTTCAGGGCACTCTAAATTGCCGACTCTCCATGTAGAGAGGGATGAATCCAATATTGAAATCCTCATAACTACAGCCCCCCAAAGTAGCCGTCCATCTTCTGCTTAAAATGTTGATCTGTAGTAAAATGTTGATTTTGTTGAAGCTGAGTGATGGGTATATGCTGTTCACAGTACTGTTCTCCCTATTTTTGTTTGTCTAAATTAAATCTTTCATAATTTCTTTTTTTTTTTTTTGAGACGAAGTCTTGTTCTGTCGCCCAGGTTGGAGTGCAGTGGCGCGATCTCGGCTCACTGCAACCTCTGCCTCCCGGGTTCAAGTGATTTTCCTGCCTTAGCCTCCCAAGTAGCTGGGATTATAGGCACACACCACCACACCCAGCTAATTTTTGTATTTTTAGTAGAGATGGGGTTTCACCATGTTGGCCAGGCTGGTCTCTAATTCCTGACCTCGTGATCTGCCCGCCTCAGCCTCCCAAAGTGCTGGGATTACAGGCGTGAGCCATTGTGCCTGGCCAATATAATTTCTTTTAAAGTTTGATTTGTTGTTGTCGTTGCTTTCTGAGACGGGGTCTTGCTCTGTAGCCCATGCTGGAGTGCAGTGGAGCAATCACAGCTCACTGCAGCCTCAACCTCCAGGACTCCAGTGATCCTCTCACCTCAGCCTCCCAAGTAGCTGGGACTATAAACATGTCGCACCACACCCAACTTATTTTTGCATCTTTTGTAGAGATGGGGTCCCACTATGTTGCCCAGGCTAGTCTTGAACTCCTGGCCTCAAGCAATACTCCTCCTGCCTCGGCCTCCCAAAGTGTTGGGATTTACAGGTGTGAGCCACCATGCCCGGCCTTAAAAAGTTTTTTTAATGCCTTCCATAACAGGGAGCTCCCAACTTCCTGCAGGAGCCTCATCCTTGGGCATTCTGCTGGGAAGTCTCTCACTGAGCCACTGTGTCCCCTTGCAGCTCTGGTCCTCCATCAAAAACAACCCTGCCAGGCCTTTAAAAGCTCCTCGGACAGACTTGGATTCAAAAGTGGGGTTCACCTGCTGAAATATGACCCTGAGCATATTATTCTAACCTCTCTGAACCTCAACCTCTCATCCACACAATGGGGACAACAGTGTAATCTATGTCACCAGGTTGTTGGGAATATCCGACGAGATCATGCAACTGATGTCCTCAGCCAGGCACCAGGCATGTGAAGTGCTCATTGTGGTTTTACTGTCTTAGGTTCTCCTCCTCAAGGCCAAATAGAACAGGTTACCCACCTCCGCACTGTGGCAGATCTTCATAAGACAACCAACTAGAAATGCTTAGCAACTGAACCCATAAAAAGGATATGCCGGCCGGGCATGGTGGCTCACACCTGTAATCCCAGCACTTTGGGAGGCTGCCGGTGGATCATTTGAGGTCAGGAGTTCGAGACCAGCCTGGCCAACATGGTGAAACCCCGTCTCTACTAAAAATACAAAAATTAGCTGGGCGTGGTGGCAGGCACCTGTAGTCCCAGCTACTCTGGAGGCTGAGGCAGGAAGACCACTTGAACTCGGGAGGCAGAGGTTGCAGTGAGCTGAGTTTGCGCCACTGCACTCCAGCCTGGGTAACAAGAGTGAAACTCCACCTTAAAAAAAAAAAAAAAAAAAGATATGCCCTGGAATTTTCAAAATCACAAATATGTAAACAACGACAAATGTGCCCCAATTCAAAAGCATGCCCTCCATGTCCTGGCATCTCCTGCAGCTATAGCCAGTCTCTCGGTTGTCTGCACTAATGTTCTGAGATACTGACATGGTAAAGAGAAAGCTATGGAAAATGCACTCTGCTGAATCCTTCAGGAGAATCCGAGAAAACACTCTCTTCCCTCTGCCTGTTCGTGGATAACGTGCTGATGATGTGGGAGTGGGCAGTTCCTTTGTTCACCTAACATTGGTACAGAATGCTCACCCACGCAGGAGGCAGCACGTATTCGTCCACTCCAAGAAACAAGACCCTATTCCCACTGCAGGATAACCCGACCCTTCACAGAAAGCCCCGCACAGCACTGCTCTAGTTCTGGAAGTGACTGCTACCAGCCTGAGAGCATCCCCGAGCCCAGCATACCTTGGCCTGTTTTCCAAAACACGACTCCATGCATCTGGCCCGACACCCCGATGCCCACGACGCTCCGGAGCTGGGGTCGGGGAAGGGCAGCAAGGCACTCGTGTAGGGCTTGGAGGATTCTACTCACATCCTGCTCCCGCCCCTGGAAGCAAAAGAGAACACATGGGCAGGGGCAGACACACAGGCAGGGGGAGGGGCGCAGGCCTCCCGGGATGTCCTGGAGGAGGAATGCAGTGGGCAGCATCCACTCCCTAACTTCACAGTTGAGGCACTGCTGCAGGTGAGTTGCAGCAAACTGCCTGGGCCTGCCCTCCACTGGGGTCAGACTCAGCTGAGAACAGCATTCTCTGTGCTATAAATAGAAGAAATAAGGCCAGGCACTGGTGGCTCAAGCCTATAATCCCAGCACTTTGGGAGGCCAAGGTGGGTGGATCACCTGAGGTCAGGAGTTCGAGACCAGCCTAGCCAAACAACATGATGAAACCCCGTCTCTACTAAAAATACAAAAAATTAGCCGGGTATGGTGGCATGCACCTGTAATCCCAGCTACTCAGGAGGCTGAGGCAGGAGAATCGGTTGAATCTGGGAGGCGGAGGTTGCGGTGAGCCGAGATCACGCCACGGCACTCCAGCCTGGGTGACAAAGTGAGACTCCATCTCAAAAAAACCAACTAGAGGAATCCACAGAAAGTTCAGAAGAGAAGAAGGGGAAGAGAATTGTGGCTCAGCTCTCAATAAATGTCAGCTCTTTGAGGAACTAGCAAAGCTAAGGTCTTAGAAAGGCATCTGAAGGCTGAGTTCTCAGACGTCTTGCTTCCCTCCCGGGAGTGCTGTCTTCCCCTCCTCGGAAAACCTCTCGCTTGCCCCTGTCAGCCTGCGGCCTTGGTCAGGGGCAGCTCTTGGCTCCTAACAAGCAGGAACAAAGAAGAGAAAGAAGGGAGGAGAGGAGGGGTAGGATGGGGCAGGGAGTACAGGGGAAGCACAGCCTTTTCCTAGGAAGCAGCCCCAGAGCTCAACAAGGATTCTACATGCAAGAGAGGCCACAGCCAAGAGGAAGTGGAAGACAAGAGGCACAGAGGAGCCAGGTGGCTATGCAGGATCACCAGAGGGAGGAAAGAAGAGCAGGGTGGGGACATGGGGGTGGGGGGCAGGAAGAAGGGTTCTGGGAATAGACATTTGTTTAGACCCTCACTGTCCAATACTGAAATCGTTAGCCACTTGTGGCTAGTCTGAATTGACATGTAAATGTAAAACATGCACCGGACTACAATTTAGTATGACAAAAAATATACACTATCTAATTTAATGCTTTTTTTTTTTTTTTTTTTTTTTTTTTAGCGATAGAGTCTCTCTCTATTGCTCAGGCTAGAGTGCAGTGGCATAATCTTGGCTCACTGCAACCTCTGCCTCCCAGGTTCAAGTGATTCTCCTGCCTTAGCCTCCGGAGTAGCTGGGATTACAGGCTCACACCACCACGCCGGGCTAATTTTTGTATTTTTAGTAGAGACGGGGTTTCGCCACGTTGGCCAGGCTGGTCTCAAACTCCTGGCCTCAGGGATTCACCCACCTCGGCCTCCCAAAGTGCTGGGATTACAGGTGTGAGCCACCGCACCCAGCCTTGATTATCACACATCAAACTGATAATGTGCTGGATACACTGGGTTAAATAAAATATGCAATTAAAATTAATTTCACTTGTTTATTTTAATAGGGCTGCTAGAAAATTGAAAAGGCCACGCCTGGCTCCATTTGTAGGTTACATTTCTTTTTTTTTGAGACGGAATCTCACTGTCACCAGGTTGGAGTGCAGTGGTGTGATCTCAGCTCACTGCATCGTCTGCCTCCCAGGTTCATGCGAGTCTCCTGCCTCAGCCTCCCAAGTACCTGGGACTATAGGTGCGCGCCACCACACCCGGCTAATTTTTGTATTTTTAGTAGAGACGGGGTTTCACCATGTTGGCCAGGATGGTCTCGATCTCTTGACCTCGTGATTCGCCCGCCTCGGCCTCCCAAAGTGCTGGCATTACAGGCGTGAGCCACCGCGCCTGGCCTGCAGGTCATATTTCTACTGGACAGAGCTAGTTTAAAGAGTCCTCCCAGCTGGGCGCAGCGGCTCACGCCTATAATCGCAGCCACTGGGAAGGTTGAAGCAGGAGATCACTTGATCCCAGAACTTTGAGACCAGCCTGAGACCAGCCTCAGCAACACAGTAAGACTCCACATGGCCATGGGGTGGTGTGTCATCCCAGGACAGAGCTGCTGTTTCAAATGGTCCCAGGGTGAGTGGGTGCGTGAGTTGTGTGGGGGGAGACACGGGAAGAAGTAAGCAGGCTGGATGTGGTAAAGACAAGGAGGCAGTGTTCAGCAGTTAGAAACAGTTTTAGGGGCGGGTGTGATTGGGGAGTAGCTCTTGGACAGACCCCCAGTGTAACAGGAATAGACATTGCCCCCACTCCTTGGCTCAGAATATCAGTTGGTCTACATCCACGTCGAATCCTCGCGCTTTAGACTTGCACACAGTACTTAGAAGCTCATTAAATCCTACTCCTCAGGCCTCTTTTTACAGCGGAGGAAACTGATGCCCAGAGAGGAAAAATAAATATAAACTGTGAAAGGGTCACAGAACTGCCCTCGAAAACCTTGTATTTTAAATGGGCAAATACCAAAAACTGATTGTCTGCACAGCTGCCAAGCTTGACCCTGGTATAGCTAATACTTATGAGTGAAAAGTATGAACTTGAGGAAAGAACACAGCCAGCAGATATTACTTTTTTTTTTTTTTTTTTTTTTTTGGAGACAGAGTCTTACTCTGTTGCCCAGGCTGGAGTGCAGTGGTATGATCTGGGCTCACTGCAACCTCTGCCTCCCGAGTTCAAGCAATTCTCCTGCCTCAGCCTCCCAAGTAGCTGGGATTACAAGCACGCATCACCACGCCCGGCTAATTTTTGTTATTTTGTAGTAGAGACAGGGTTTCACCATGTTGGCCAGGCTGGTCTCGAACTCCTGACCTCAAGTGATCCACCCACCTCCGCCTCCCAAAGTGCTGGGATTACAGGCAAGAGCCACCGCGCCCGGCCACAGATATGACTATAGATCACTGGTTCCTACTCGGGGTGGTCTTGTCACCTAGGGAACATTTGGCAACATGGAGACATTTTTGGTTGTCACATCTGGGGAAGAGGGGCAAGCGTGGCTGGCATCTAGTGGGCCAGAGATGTTGCTAAACATTCTACAACATGCAGGACACCCCTCACACAACAAAAACTATGCAGCCCAAAATGTCAGCAGCACCAAGGTTGAGAAACCCTGCTATATAGACTAACTCACAGCAGTGCTGTTTGTCCCAGAGCACGATTCATATGTGGTGTGGGGGGGTTAATGACTGGCCTCCGCTAAGCACTTCATTAAATAGGTGTGACACACTGGGTGAGCCTGTAAGCACAGAACAGCCTGCTGAAAGCTGGGGAGGGAGGGCAGAAAAGTTTTCAAGAAGTGGCCGTGCTGCCGCCCCTACTGGGAAGTGAGGAGCCCCTCTGCCCGGCCACCACCCCGTCTGGGTAGTGTACCCAACAGCTCATTGAGAATGGGCCATGATGACAATGGCGGTTTTGTGGAATAGAAAAGGGGGAAAGGTGGGGAAAAGATTGAGAAATCGGATGGTTGCTGTGTCTGTGTAGAAAGAAGTAGACATGGGAGACTTTTCATTTTGTTCCGTACTAAGAAAAATTCTTCTGCCTTGGGATCCTGTTGATCTGTGACCTTACCCCCAACCCTGTGCTCTCTCAAACATGTGCTGTGTCCACTCAGGGTTAAATGGATTAAGGGCGGTGCAAGATGTGCTTTGTTAAACAGATGCTTGAAGGCAGCATGCCCGTTAAGAGTCATCACCACTCCCTAATCTCAAGTACCCAGGGACACAAACACTGCGGAAGGCCGCAGGGTCCTCTGCCTAGGAAAACCAGAGACCTTTGTTCACTTGTTTATCTGCTGTCCTTCCCTCCACTATTGTCCTATGACCCTGCCAAATCCCCCTCTGCGAGAAACACCCAAGAGTGATCAATTAAAAAAAAAAAAAAAGTGGCCATGCTGGGTGCGGTGGCTCACACCTGTAATCCCAGCACTTTGGGAAACCGAGGCAGGCAGATCAGTTGAGGTCAGGAGTTTGAGACCAGCCTTGCCAACATGGTGAAACCCCATCTCTACCAAAAATACAAAAAAATTCTCCAAGCATGGTGGCGCACACCTGTAATCCCAGCTACTCGGGAAACTGAGGCACGAAAATCACTTGAACCCGGGAGGCAGAGGTTTCAGTGAGCAGAGATTGCACCACTGCACTCCAGCCTGGGTGACAGAGCGAGACCCTGTCTCAAAAAAAAAAAAAAAAAAAAAAGAAGTGCTCTATTTCAGGAGAAACTGGCACTTTCTGAGCCTACTCTCCCCTAATGCCAGCTCTCCTGCTCACCCCACCAGGGTCAGAGCCAACTTTGCCTCCAATTCATAGTCCTTTAAGTAAGAATCCTTTTAATATGCCCTAATGTCCCAACCAAACTAATCTTGAAAGCTTCTATGTAGATACAAAGTGCTCCTGAAATCCCTATCCTCAGAAATGCTTCTGAGCCAAATGGGCTCTGAACCCTAAACAACCGTGTCCATGTATGTGGCAAGAGCTTGTGAAAAACAAAGCTGGGCCAGGCGCAGTGACTCACAACTGTAATCCTAGCACTTTGGGAGGCTGAAGTGGGCAGATCACTTGAGGTCAGGAGTTCAAGACCAGTCTGGCGAACATGGCGAAACCCTGTCTCTACTAAAAATACAAAAAGTAGCCGGGCGCGGTGGCTCACACCTGTAGTCCCAGCTACTCGGGAGGCTGAAGCAGGAGAATCACTTGAATCCAGTTGGCGGAGGTTGCAGTGAGCCCAGATCACGCCACTGTACTCCAGCCTGGGCAACAGAGCGAGACTTGGTAAGAAAGAGAAAGAAAGGAAAGAATGAAGGAAGGAAGGAAGGAAGGAAGGAAGGAAGGAAGGAAGGAAGGAAGGAAGGGAAGGAAGGGAAGGAGTCTCGCTCTGTCACCCAGGCTGGAGTGCAACGGAGCGATCTCGACTCACTGCAAGCTCCGCCTCCCGGGTTCGCGCCATTCTCCTGCCTCAGCCTCCCGAGTAGCTGGGACTACAGGCGCCCGCCACCACGCCCCGCTAATTTTTTGTATTTTTAGTACAGACGGGGTTTCACCGTGTTAGCCAGGATGGTCTCGATCTCCTGACCTCGTGATCCGCCCGCCTCGGCCTCCCAAAGCGCTGGGATTACAGGCGTGAGCCACCGCGCCCGGCTGACCAAAGGTTTCTTGGTCCGCATTCTGCTTCTGTGGAATGAGCCAGGAGCCAGTTAGGCCTGATTTGACATCTGATTTCCGGAGGAAAACCCAGACTCTGCCCTGGGCAACAAACTGAATCCTGAACTTGAGGTCACAGGGCAGGTGTGAGGAGCGGAGAGCAGCAAGAGTGAAAGGGAGGCCTGTGGTCATTCCATACACACAAGAGATCAGTTCCTCCAAGGTCAGGGGACAGAGAGCACAGGGATCCAGCGCCAAGCGCAAGGCCCCCAGAAGAAGCCAGAGAGTCGGGGAGGGGGCGGGGGGGAATCGGTCCCAGCAGGTGGGAAGGATTCTGGGACCAGACCTAAGGGATCATGAGCACAGCTGCTGCAGGCAGACGGGCCCCTGGAGAAGCTGGGGACAAGCTGGAATAGAGACTTCATTGCGGGAAGGGCTGTCAGGGAGGCCTCCTGGGGTGGAAAAGGGTGGTCAGGAGGCTCCTGGAGGCGGCGCGGCCCCGGGGGTCCAACTCACCTGGGGCCCGGCCACCGCGCTCTCGACCGCCGCCTCTGCCCGCGCAGCACGGGCACAGCTCGCCAGCACTGCGAACCCGGATGGGTCGTCGGGCGCGGCCCTCAGCAGAGCTGCCTTCACAGATGTGGTGCCCAGGTCAATGCCGAGGGTGATCGGCCGCGCAGCCATTATCTCCCTGACCCGCGCAGCTCCAGTCTGCAGCCAGCGGCCCCACAAGTCCGCGCTCTTCGCCCAGGGGGGCGGGGCAGGGGCGGGGAGTCGCCTGCCAATCTTTCAGCCACACCCAACATGGAGGCTTCTCGTCTTCCCACTGGCCGGGGAAGGCGAGCTTCCACGCAACCTCTCGGCGGGCCCCGGCTATAGGCGGAGAGGCGGCGGAAGGCGGGACCTAAAGGGGGCCCCGCCCCACGGGCTCTGATTTCCGCCCAATGGAGGGCGGTCTGAGCTTCGCTCACGAAAGGAGCCGGGAGGCGCTGGCGGCTCCAAGAGTCTCTGTGTCCCTGGCAGCGGACCTCATCTTCCCTCACGCCGGAGCCCCGATCTCTGCGCCCCGGCCCGACCCAGCTGCGCTCTGTCCGTCTAAGACGCGCGGAAACTACAACTCCCAGAGCTCATCTCGCCGAGATCCGGCCCCACGAGTCAGGTGGCGGAGGTCAGGTGACAGCGGACCCGCCTCTCCCAAAGTCTAGCCGGGCAGGGGAACGCGGTGCATTCCTGACCGGCACCTGGCGAGGCTCATGCGTCCCGTGAGGGCGGTTCCTCGAGCCTGGGGGCGCTCAGGTGAGAGCGGACGCGGCCTCCCCTGTTTCCCAGGCGGACCCCTTGAGGCACAGCAGGTCAGCGGGGCAGCCTGCCGGGGGTCCAGCGCCCTCAGCCGCGGCGGGCTCCTTTCCCCGCCACCAGTGCTGGCCTCGCGACACGGGACAACCCCCGGGTGGAAGGGCCCGAGCGGTGGTCAGCCGAGGCAGGGGCAGCGGGCTGCCGGGGTGGGTGCCGTTCCCAGCCCCTTACCTTCTGCTCAGTTGCCGCCTGGGTCTCGGTTGGGGAATTTGCAGATTGCTTTGGAGACGCTGAGAGAACCTTTGCGAGAGCGCCGGTTGACGTGCGGAGTGCGGGGCTCCGGGGGACTGAGCAGCACGAGACCCCATCCTCCCCTCCGGGTTTTCACACTGGGCGAAGGGAGGACTCCTGAGCTCTGCCTCTTCCAGTAACATTGAGGATTACTGTGTTTTGTGAGAGCTCGCTAGGCGCCCTAAGCAACAGAGGTAACCACTTTATATCCTTGTTTCTCAACCTCGTTATTCCTACCTACCCCCTTCCCATAAAATTTAATACCACTAGTACGCTGTGTATTTGTTTCTGTGGCCACAAACCATTGTAATAGCTAGATTTCTTCACTACCACCCCAAGCCAATTTTTTTTTTTTTTTTGAGATGGAGTCTGCAGCCTCTGTCACCCAGGCTGGAGTGCAGTGGCGCGATCTCGGCTCACTGCAACCTCCGCCTCCGGGGTTCAAGCGATTCTCCTACCTCAGCCTTCCGAGTAGCTGGGACTACAGGCCTGAGCCACCATGCCCAGCTAATTTTTGTATTTTTAGTAGAGATGGGGATTCACCATGTTGGCCAGGCTGGTCTCGAACTCCTGACCTCAGGTGATGCGCTCACCTCGGCCTCCCAAAGTGCTGGGATGACAGGCGTGAGCCACCGCGCCCAGCCTACCCCCAGCCAATTTTAGTCCCACTTGACAATGCGTGCTTTACATCTCCTCATTTAAGTCCTGTGAGGTAGTTACCACCTCCTTGTTTGGCACCACAAGGTCGCATAAGTAATAAATAGGTCAAGCCTGTCTCCAGTGCACACAGCCCTTGCCACTATTTGTGTACCCTCTCCAAAAGCAGGAGACCCAGGGAGTTCCAGGTCGTAGAACAGAGGACAGGACCAACTCATACCTGGCAGACAGGAGCTGCCACACTAGACCCCTAGCCCCAGGTTGCTCCTGGGAAGGGACTGAATGGGTGAGGAGCCTTCTTGAAACATGTGACATCTGAATGAGGCCTGGACAATAGTTAGAACTTACATAGGAAGGGCACGCCAGACAGAGCCCATTGTCAGGAGATACTTCATTTCTATCTTGTAGCTTTCACAAGCCACTAGTTGTATGTAATTATCAATCTGGTTTTTTTTTTGTTTTTTTTTTTTAATTTGAGACGGAGTTTCACTCTTATCACTCAGGCTGGAGTGCAATGGTGCAATCTCGGCTCACTGCAACCTCCACCTCCCGGGTTCAAGCGATTCTCCTGCCTCAGCCTCCTGAGTAGCTGGGACTACAGGCACATGCCACCACGCCTGGCTAATTTTTGTATTTTTAGTAGAGACGGGGATTCACCATGTTGGCCAGGCTGGTCTCGAACTCCTGACTTCAAGTGATCCAACTGCCTCGGCCTCCCAAAGTGCTGGAATTACACACACGAGCCACTGCGCTCAGCCTAATCTGATGTTTTTTAACATTTTAATTGACTTACCTCTCAATGTCGTTTTGTCTCTGCTGGCATCGTTCCTCCAGGGGTCTCAGCCTTTGAGGCTTGGGAATGTTTGCTGACCAAGTCTGTGAGTTTGAGAAGCTGGTTAGGCCTGATTCTGCATCTAATTTCTGGAGAAAAACCAGACTCTGTCCTGGGCAACAAACTGAATCCTGAACTTGAGGCCACAGGGCAGGTGTGAGGAGCGGAGGGCAGCAAGAGTGAGAGGGAGGCCTGTGGTCATTCCATACACGCAGGAGGGCAATTCCTCCAAGGTCAGGGGACAGAGCACAGGGATCCAGCGCCAAGAGCAAGGCCCCCAGAGGAGGCCAGAGAGTAGGTACGGGGTCATTCCCGGCCGGTGAGAAGGGTCTCAGATGAGGCAGACCTGCAGCAGGCAAAGAGAGAACCCTGGAGGAGACGGGCCAACAGAGGTCAGACAGCTGGAGCAGCCAGGGAGACTTCTTGAGGAGTGTGTAAGGGAGATGTCCGGAGATGCTGGAGGCCTTGGGGAAACTGAAATCAGAGTGGGAACAGGGATGTCTCCACACAGACCTTACCCAGAGCTCCCCACAGTCTGCAGGAGGCCCGTGAGACTGTGTACTGAGGCAGCACGGAGACCAAGCTACAGAAATCCATGCCGGCCTGGCTGCTCTTGACCCACTGTTCACCTGCTGTGTCTTGGGTTTACAGGAATGCAGCTCCCCATCTTCCACACTAAACCAAGGACTTGCTCTGGGGCTCATCCCTCCCCGAGTCCTCCTTGTGAATGACCCCAGCCAGTCCTGGAATGGTGACACTTGTCAAATAAAGTCTTGACAGGCGCGGTGGCTCCTACCTGTAACCCCAGCACTTTGGGAGGCTGAGGCGGGCGGATCACTCGAGGTCAGGAGTTTGAGACCAGGCTGGCCAACATGGTGAAACCCCATCTCTACTAAAAATACAAAAGTTAGCCGGGCATGGTGGGGGGCACCTGTAATCCCAGCTACTCAGGAGGCTGAGGCACAAGAATTGCTTGAACCCAGGGGGTGGAGGTTTCAGTGAACAGAGTTCGCACCACTGCACTCCAGCCTGGGCAACAGAGCAAGACTCTGTCTCAAAAAAAAAAAAATTTAAATATGTATATTAAAAAAAAATGTTTTTTTAAGTCTTAAGGGTCAGTTGGTGTCATCAGCCCTTAGACTCTTATCCCAGGACAGGAAAGGAAATTAATTTCCTTGAGGTTTATAGGTTCACAATGTCAAATATCTGACCACAGTTTTAACAACTTTTGGAGAAAAAGAATCTCAAGCCAGTAAAATTGCATTCTTTCTTTCTGCTAACTAAGTTTTTACAAAAAGCAATTGAAGAGGGAAAAATTCTGGTCTTTGTTCACTTCCTCAGGGGGGCACTTTACACAACCCATTTATCTGCTCGGAGCCCGTTTCCCCTGTATATCAAAGAAAGATAAGTCCTCTCTAGGGTGTCCCTCTGAGGCCGTGATGCAAAGCCCTGAGGTCACAGCTGTCAGGTGGCAGTCCTTTATGAGCCATCCATGCTCCAGAGGGCAGATTGTCTACAGGGAGCTGAGCTGATTCAACATTCCCCTGAACTTCTCTCTTGCTGTTTTTCTTCCTAGTTCTGAGAAATCGAGAAACATGATAAGGAATTGGCTGACTATTTTTATCCTTTTTCCCCTGAAGCTCGTAGAGAAATGTGGTAAGTTTAGAAATGACACGTCAACTTTGTAAAGAGGGAAATGGTGGCTAGAGGAAGGAGTAATCTGATCTGTTTGTTGCCAAGGGTTTAGAATCATTCAGACCACATGTCTCTGTCTGCCTCTTGGCCATGTGGCCACTGGGGTGGTGGAGCAGACCCAGGTCTGGGATCCAGGTGTTCTGCAAAGAGCCAGATAGTTCCACATATAATTGGCCTTCTGCCCTGGTATCTCTGTACCTTTCTGTACCAAAGTGAACAGCTGGTTCTTAAGGTCAGACTATGCAGCTGATTCTCAAAGTCAAACGGTAGAGCTCCAACAACCTGGGATAATATCTTAAAGACTGGCTCAGGCTGGAGCAGTGGCTCACGCCTATAATTCCAGAGCTTTGGGAGGCCAAGGCAGGAAGATCTCTTGAGGCCAGGAGTTTGAGACCAACCTGGGCAACGTAGTGAAACCCCATGTCTACTAAAAAATAATTTTTAAAAATTAGCCATATGCAGTGGCTCGTGCCTATAGTCCTAGCTACTTGGGAGGCTGAGGCAGGAAGATTGCCTGAGCCCAGGAAGTCAAGGCTACAGTGAGTTATGATCACACTACTGCACTCCGGCCTGGGCAACAGAGTTGAGACCCTGACTTTAAAAGAAAAAAAAGAAGAATGGCTTATGCCTCTGCCCTGTGGACCTCACAGAGAGAGTCTTGGGTCCTGGGAAACACTGGGGAAGCAGAAGAGGTAGCCACCCTGTTGTACCCGGTTCTGCCAGGCACAGATCACCTGAGGAGTCTGCCCAGCATCCCCTTGTAAGATGAGAAAACCTGTCCCTTAGAGAGGGGCTGAGGAACAGGGTGCAACAGCCCAGCAGGGCTAGGGGTCAGTTGGAACACAGGCTGGGATGGAGTTTACACGTCCTTGTAGGAGGAATGACCTTCAGTGCAGGCCTCTTTGAGGCCCGTGCCCTTCTAGCAATTCTCCCACTGCCCAAAACATCTCTGGAATTCCTTCCATAAAGAGCCATGTTTAGCACTTCAAAGGTGCCAGGCCCATTCATTTGATCCTCAGCTTGCCTCTTGGGTCAAATACAAAAATCAGATACATATATATATATATATATATATATATTTTTTTTTTTTTTTTTTTTTTTTTGAGACAGAGTCTCACTCTGTCGCTGAGGCTGGTGTGCAGTGGCACGATCTCAGCCCACTGCAACCTCCACCTCCCGGGTTCAAGCAATTCTCCTGCCTCAGCCTCCCTAGTAGCTGGGATTACAGGCACCCGCAACTACGCCCAGCTAGTTTTTTGTATTTTTAGTAGAGATGGGGTTTCACCATGTTGGCCAGGCTGGTTTTGAGCTCCTGACCTCGTGGCTCGCCTGCCTTGGCCTCCCAAAGTGCTGGGATTACAGGCATGAGCCACCGTGCCTGGCCCAGATACCTTAAATTCCCATTTCAAGTGAACCTTGACAAACAATACAAATCCTGCAGAGGTTTCCCCAGAGCCTAGCACCATTGCCGTTATCTGGCCTCTTGCATCTCTGAGGAAACATGGTCACGTGATCATCTCTTCCAGGTTTGTTAAACAATCAGTAATGTTTGTAGTCACACTTTGTGGATAAGCAATTTCCGGGAAAGGCAGGTCTTTCAGACCCTGGAACCTGGTGTTTCTTAATACAGACGTCAGAACCCTGTCCCCACCCTGTAGGATCAGACTTTGTAAGACTGAGGCTGGAGCATGTGCGTGTGCCTGGGAGTGTGCGCGCGCGTGTATTTGCCTGGGCCTGTGTGTGTGTGTGTACCCGGGCGTGTGTGTGTGTGTGTGTGCCTGGGCGTGTGTGTGTGTGCCTGGGTGTGTGTCTGCGTGCATGTATGTGTGCCCGGGCGTGTGTGTGTGTGTGTGTGTGTGCCCAGTCGCTCATACATACTCTTTAAAGCCCCATTAGTAATGCTAACACGCTCCCCTAGGAGAAAAACAAAAAATCCAGCTACCACCACTCCAGTTACCTGGAGGGGAAGCAGGCCCAGAGAGGGTAGAAGGCTTCCCCAAAGTCACACAGCTAGAAAGTAACAAAGCTGGGACCTGCATAGGATCCCTGCTGCATGAGATCACTTTGCCTCCTTTCCTGAATGCCATTAGAAAAGAATGGGCCAGGTGCTGTAGTTCACGCCTGTAATCCCAGCACTTTGGGAGGCCAAGGTGGGTGGATCTCTTGAGGTCAGGAGTTCGAGACCAGCCTGGCCAACATGGTGAAACCCCGTCTCTACTAAAAATACAAAATTAGCTGGGCATGGTGGCGAGCGCCTGTAAGCCCAGCTACTTAGGAGGCTGAGGTAGGAGAATCGCTTGAACCCGGGAGGCAGGAGGTTGCAGTGAGCTGAGATCACGCCACTGCACTCCAGCCTGGGTGACAGAGCAATTCCCCATCTCAAAAAGAAAAAAGGAAAGAAGAATGGAAGCCACCATAAAATCAAGTCACTGGAATTGAATCTCCAACCTCATTCTGCCCTTGCTGTTTCTTTCTTCTCTTTGCTTTGGGTAGTAATTATGAAGGACCACAGATGAGATGATTGGCCTTCAGACTTGTCTGTCTCTGACTTCTCTGGGTGGAATCTTGAGGCAGTGCAGCCTCATGGCAAGAACCTGGGCTTTGGACTAGACAGGCCTAAGTTTGAATCTTGCCCTCACCATTTTCAAGCTGTGTGGGCAAGAAACCTTTCCTCTTAGAATGCTCAGTTTCCTGAAATGTAAAATAGGAATAATAATGCCTACCTCGGCCTGGCGCGTTGGCTCACGCCTGTAATCCCAGCCCTTTGGGAGGCCAAGGAGGGTGGATCACAAGGTCAGGAGATCGAGACTATCCTGGCTAACATGGTGAAATCCCGTCTCTACCAAAAATACAAAAAATTAGTCGGGCGTGGTGGCGGGCGCCTATAGTCCCAGCTACTCGGGAGGCTGAGACAGGAGAATTGCTTGAACCCGGGAGGCAGAGGTTGCAGTGAGTCGAGATCGTGCCACTGCACTCCAGCCTGGGCGACAGAGCAAGACTCTGTCTCAAAAACAAAAAAAAATGCCTACCTCTCACTTTTGTAATAATTAGAAAATGGGAGCTCGGTGTATAGCAGAGTAGCTGGTATTGGGTAGGTGCAGAGTGGGAGAGAGGCCTATAAGAATTAATTTTAAAAACCTGGCCAAGCATGGTGGCTCATACCTGTAATCCCAACACTTTGGGAGGCCAAAGAGGGAGGATCACTTGGGCACAGGAATTTGACACCAGCGTGAGCGACATAGTGAGACCCCATCTCTACAAAAAAAAATTTTTTTTTAAACGGATTCTCACTCAGTTGCACAGGCTGGAGTGCAATGTGGCGTGATCTCAGTTCACTGCAACCTCTGCCTCCCGGGTTCAAGCGATTCTAGTGCCTCAGCCTCCCAAGTAGCTGGGTTTGTAGACGTGCGCCACCACATCCGGCTAATTTTTGTATTTTCAGTGGAGACAGAGTTTCACCATGTTGGCCAGGTTGGTCTCAAACTCCTGACCTCAAGTGATCTGACCGCCTCAGCCTCCCAAAGTGCTGGGATTACAGGCGTGAGCCACCGCACCCGGCCAAAAATTTTTTTTTAATTAGCTGGGTGTGGTGGTGCATGCCTGTGTTCGTAGCTACTGAGGTGAGAGGCGGCAGTGGTGGGAGGATGGCTTGAGCCTGGCGGGGTCAAAGCTGCAGTGAGCCATGATCACTCTCTTTAGGAGGAACTCAGGATGGTGTTGTGACTCATTTTGTAAATCTGATACAATGTAAAGATTTTAGACTTGGGGGGCCAGCTTCCTAACTGCCTCCCACCTTGGGCTAAAAATATCCTGCAGTTATCATGTGATGATAATAATAGTAACAATTATTTAGCATCTGGGCTTTGTGGAAAACATGTTACAAACATTGCTACATTGTATCTTCACCATGACTCATTCAGATAGGTCTTGGTATTCTCCCCACTGTACAGATAAGGAAATGGAGGCTCAGAGAGGGTAAGTACCTTACCCATGGTCACACAGCTAGGAAGTGTCAGAGCCAGGATGGAACTGCGTGACTTTGGAGCCCAATATCTCAGTTGCTGAGCACCTCAGTTTTCTGTGGTGCTAAAGAAGGAGGGAATAAACATTCTCTGGTCTGGTTCTTGGAGTGTTCACAAACTCCTATTTTATTTTTTTATTTTATTCTATTTTGTTGAGACGGAGTCTCACTCTGTCACCCAGGCTGGAGAGCAGTGGCGCAATCTCAGCTCACTGCAGCCCCCGCTTCCTGGGTTCAAGTGATTCTCTTGCCTCAGCCTCCCGAGTAGCTGGGATTACAGGCGCCTGCCATCACGCCCAGCTAATTTTTTGTATTTTTAGTAGAGACAGGGTTTCACTATGTTAGCCAGGATGGTCTCTATCTCCTGACCTCGTGATCCACCTGCCTCGGCCTCCCAAAATGCTGGGATTACAGGCCTGAGCCACCGCGCCCGGCCTAATTTTTTGTCTTTTTGGTAGAGATGGGGTTTCGCCATATTGGCTAGTCTGGTCTCCAAATCCTGACCTCAGGTGATCCACCTACCTCGGCCTCCCAAAGTGTTAGGATTACAGGTGTGAGCCGCTGTGCCCGGCCCTCAACCTCCTATATGCAAAGATTGTAGGAGCTCTGTAGCCATGTAGATCTCCCACTCACCTTGACCTCCACTACCTCTGGCAGAGCCCTAGGGATCCAGAGTCTGGCTGGCCGCCCAGCATCACTTTCAGCATCCTGTCCTGAGCAGTGGCTGGTTGTGGGACTTGCTTATCTGGCATGGTCCTCAGCTCTAGGCAGAATTGAACTGGTGGTACAGGAAGTCCCAGCTATGCAAGCCCAGAAGAAATCCTCAGAATGACCTCAGAACAGTGAGCCTGAAAAAGAAGGGCAGACTCGCCACAGCGGCTTCCAGGCTCTGAGGCTCCACATAAGGAAGGGACTGCCTTTTGCCGCTCTGAGCACCTTGGCCTCTGCAAGGGCCAGGGGACATCCTGTTCTGAGGAGCCCAGCCAGCCAGCAGGGGACTGGAGATTGTGGACTGTGGGGACCTACGGACTTGGGACAGAGCTTCCATCTGTATTCACATGTGCTGAGCATGGAGAAGGCAGCTCTCAGGGTCTGAGAGGCTCTGGGTAGCAGAGCCTGGCCTGGCAGGGCAAGCTTCAGGCTGTGATCTCCTTAGAGGAGACGAGGTTACAGAGGAAGAGAAACTACCAGGTAGGAGTATTGAGGCGGAGAATCAGAGGTCAAATTGGGTAACTTTAAGTTTCCTTCCGGGCCAGGTATGGTGGCTCACACCTGTAGTCCCAGCGCTTTGGAAGGCCAAGGCAGGCAGATCACCTGATGTCAGGAGTTCAAGACCAGCCTGGCCAACATGGTGAAACCTCATCTCTACTAAAAATACAAAAATTAGCCAGACGTGGTGCTGCATGCCTATAATTCCAGCTACTTGGAAGGCTGAGACAGGAGAATCACTTGAACCCAGGAGGCAGAGGTTGCAGTGAGCAAAGATCATGCCACTGCACTCCAGCCTGGGCAACAAAGCGAGACTCTGTCTCAAAAAAAAAAAAAAAAAAAAGTTTCCTTCCAACCCAAGCGTCTAAAATTTCAGATCTCAATTCATCTGCCTTTGAGGGGTCTGAGTGACAGGGTCTGGGTGGGGGGAACTGGGCCTGGGGGGTCTGAGTGACGGGGTCTGGGTCGGGGAACCGGGCATGCTGGCAGCCTCTGCCGTTGCAAAGACGCTCCTCATCACAGTCATGCACCTGCTTCCCCGCCCGGCCTAGAGTCATGACCATAACCCCAGGCTGTGTGTAACCCTGAAGGCAATCAGGCAGGGGAAGTGAGATGGCAGGTGTGGCATGAGCCTTCCAGTACCCCTGGGAGCAGAGGCTGGGACGGGGCTGCACAAAGAATACAGGAAGCACACAAAGAGAGGCTTACTCAGTCCGGTGCTCTGGGCTAGTTGGCCTTGCAAGAGGGTTTTCTTTCTTTTTTTTTTTTTTTTGAGATGGAGTCTCGCTCTGTTGCCCAGGCTGGAATGCAGTAGCGATCTCAGCTCACTGCAACCTCTGCCTTCCAGGTTCAAGCAGTTCTCTGCCTCAGCCTCCAAAGTAGCCGGGACTACAGGTGCATGCCACCAAACCCAGCTAATTTTTTGTATTTTTAGTAGAGACAGGGTTTCACCATGTTGGCCAGGACGGTCTTGATCCTCTGACCTCGTGATCCACCTGCCTCGGCCTCCCAAAAGGCTGGGATTACAGGCATGAGCCACCACGCCTGCCCAGTTTTCTTTCTTTTTTTAAGAAAATATTCTGTAGAAACAGAGTCTTTCTGTGTTGCCCAGGCTGATCTCCAGCTCCTGGGCTCAAGCAGTCCTCCCGCCTTGGCCTCCCAAAGCGCCAGGTTTCTAAGCGTGAGCCACCACGCCCAGCCCCACGATGGTTTTCTAAGACCCTAAGACCCAGATCTGCTTCTTCCCTCATCTGGGGGCCTGTTTGTCAACTTGATTCTGAGTTAACAGCTTAATGCCAAGAAGAAATCTCAGAGTGAAACAACTATTCACCCTTCCTCCTCCAGTACCCCGCAGATAGTCAGCCCCAGGAAGGGGACCAGTGCCAGGGTGAGCTGGGTTGGGAAGGGACCCCAAAGGGCTCCTTAGAAACTCATTAGCTGGGCCCATGTGTCTCTCTGAGAGTGCAGGAAAGGGGCTGGCCCAGTTCTTCAGGACCATTTTGACTTCATGAACAGAGGAGACCCCTGTGCTTTCATCTGAAGAGGTGGTTCACGGCTGCCTTTTACGCTCCCAGGTCACGCTGGAATTCCCCTGTAATGATTTTTGGGCTCCATGGTTCTCTAACAATCTCTGGTTAACTCAGCCGCAGACTCTCAGAGCCTGTCATCGCAGCGGGAGGAGGACGCTCCGGCGTTTCCTGCTCAGGCCTGTTTTCCTCCATCTCTGTCTCTGGCAGCAGGTGGGGAAGGAAGCTAACCAGGGCCTGTGTTTGCAGTCCCATCACAGAATAGGGCTCGTCAGAGAGTCAGAGCTCAGGAGTTCAGATGTCAGGGGTTTCGGCCCAGTTTTCTGTCACAGGCCTGAACTCTGACCCAGTGCCTCATGTCATTGATTTGGGTCCTTCCAGAGTCAAGCGTCAGCCTCACTGTTCCTCCTGTCGTAAAGCTGGAGAACGGCAGCTCGACCAACGTCAGCCTCACCCTGCGGTAAGTTCCTGGGCCTGGCGCTGTGCTCAGCTCCGCTCAGGCCCCGCAGCTGGGTCAGGGCTGACCCCTGGCTCAGTCTGTTCAGATTTCAGATGCGCTATTCTTGCCTCTTACCTGTAAGACAAGCCCTAGAAAAAGGGATGGTGCTAGCCCCGGGCTGCAGGATGGGATCGCAAAGGCTGACCCCCACCCTGAGTCCTCACTTTCCCTGGCAGGAGAAGGAAGGGGTGCTTCTCCCAGAGACGTGCGTCTTTTCCCCGCATGGGAAGAGTCCTGTGTGACCGGTGTTGAGGCCAGATTTCAAAGCGATTCTTTCTAAGACTAAGTATTTGAAGAGAGCCCTGAAGGTCAAGGGGCAGGGAGCTGAGCTGCTGGTTGGCACTTCTGAGGTTGCTTTCAGAAGCAGGAGTGGCCACGTCGGGTGAATGCCGCTCATGCTGGGCCTTGTCTGGGAGTCTCACTTGCTGCCACCTGCTGGCTTAGGCACAAACGTCGCGACCTAGTCCAGTCTGTGCCAGGGAGGCTGCCTCTGCCTTCTCTGCTCTTAGCTGCTTTGTCCTTCCCTTGCCTCCCAGCCGTGAGGATTCCCTGATGAAGAAGACCTAGAACCCTCTCCTTCTCTCTTTATGCCTTTCCCCCTTCCTCGCCTCTCCTGCGAGATCTGGCCTGAAAGCAAAGCTTTGGTTCCGAGGCCCCTAGCAGGCCTGCCATTCCGCTCCCAGCTCCTTCTGTCTCTGCACACCCTCCCCCTGCAAATCTTACAAGTCATCTCTTACCACAACTGTCCAGGCCCCTGGAGTGGCCTCCCACTGCCTTTCAGATTAACTCCAGGCCTCTAAACCCAGGGCCAGGGCCCAGAAGACGGCTTCCAGCCAGCACATCTGCCTTCTCCCGTCAGATGCCTCTCCCAGCTTTCCAAGTCCGGACTGCTCCCTCCTCATTCCCTGCCTGAGCCCTCTCCTCCTTCAGTCAAATGCTGGCCCTCACACAAGGCCCCACTCAGACCCGACTCTCTGGGAAGCCTTTCCCACCGGAGCAGGGAGCCACGGTCCTGGGCCTCCAGATGCCTCATTTGTCATTCACACCCACCTTGCTTTCTTCTCTGTTCTCACCCTACCCTGAAGGGACAGACACCTGGTCTCCTGATTAAGACAGGAAGGCCTACGGGAGCACGATTTCCACCTGGCTACCCATCAGGGTGGAGCACCTAGCATTTCCTAAGCCTAACTGCTTGAGAGTTGAAGGCCAGATGTGAAATCCAGAGGGTTGGTTGAGATCTCACTGTCCAGCTTCTCAGCAGTAATTAGACTCTTGTCCTCCACAGGCCACCATTAAATGCAACCCTGGTGATCACTTTTGAAATCACATTTCGTTCCAAAAATATTACTATCCTTGAGCTCCCCGATGAAGTAAGTAACCAATCTTAACGGATGGGTAGGGAAATGCTAGGTAACAGAACACATTTGAATTAAGAGCTGGTGGAAACAGGTCTCCTAGGCGGCCCCTGTTCCATCAACCTAGAAATCTGTGATTTTGGCTTTGTTGGTGTCTTTTGGGGATGAGTATCACATGCCATTAGATGGAATTAAGAAGGTGATAGTGAGGAACCTGAGGCAAAAATGGTTCTGGGAATGTAAACGTTCTTACCGGGAGTGGTGGCTCACGCCTGTAATCCCAGCACTCTGGGAGGCCAAGGTGAGCGGGTCACCTGAGGTAGGAAGTTCGAGACCAGCCTGATCAACATGGTGAAACCCCATCTCTACTAAAGTAAATACAAAAATTAGCCAGTCGTGGTGGCATGCACCTGTAATCCAAGCCACTTGGGAGGCTGAGGCAGGAGGATCACTTGAACCCAGGAGGCGGAGGTTGGGGTGAGCCTAGATGGCCCCACTACACTCCAGCCTGGGTGACAGAGTGAGACTCCTTCTCAAAAAAAAAAAAAAAAAAAGTTCTTACAATTTTCAAGGCCTGGCTGCTCAAAGGGCATTCAAGGACCAGAGAATTGGGCTTCCTTAGGAACACAGCATCTCAGGCCCCATCCCAAACCTACTGATTCAAAGTCAGCACACTAGCAAGATCCCCAAATGGTTTGAGTCCACATTAAGGTTTGTGAAGCCTCATTCTGAGACACCACTGGTTGGGTGTCGTTTCCAAAAACCAGTGCCAGAGGCCGTGTGATCTAATAGCGATCATTACCCATAGCTTTATGCATGTATCTATTTGTGTGTACCCTGCTCCCACCTTACTGAGCATTTGAGCCAGTTGCTATTCAATTAGATAAAAAGCATCCACAGAGGAGGTGGCAAATAAGGGTTTAAATAACAAGATGAACGCAAGTCACTCAGGGCGCATAACTTCTGGAGAGCTATTGTACAACCTGGCGATATAGTTAACAATCATGTATTACTGCATGCCTAAAAACTGCTAAGAGATAGATCCTAAATGTTCCCACCACAGCTGGGTGCAGTGGCTTGCACCTATAGTCCTAGCTACTCACGTTCGTAACAACAACAAAAAAAAGATAAGTATCTGAGATGATGGATATTAATTAGCTTGATTTAGTCATTTCACAATGTATGCATACATCAAAGCATCACGTTATATACTGCAAATATATACACTTTTTATTTGTCAATGATACCTTAATAAAGCTGGTGGAAGCAGGAGGAGAAGAATGCAGGGATGAGATCAGTAGCCATGAGGCACATCAAGATGGGCTGCAAATCAGCTCTGAGCCCCCTAGGAAGCAAACAGGAGTGAAACACGATCAGTCTCCAGCATGTGGGAACCTGTGATCTGAAAAATATAGCATCGCTGGCTGCAGAGATGTGCACCTGTAATCCCAGCTACTTGGGAGGCTGAGGCAGGAGAATCACTTGAGCCCAGGAACTCAAGGCTGCAGTGAGCCATGACTGTACCACTGCCCTCCAGCCTGAGTGTTGGAGCAAGACTCTGTCTCTAAAAAATTAAAAATAAAAATAAAATGTTTAAAAATAACAGCATTGCTGAGAGGGGATCTCGGAGTGTCCAGCTAAGAGGACCCCGCATGAGAGGGAGCTCTCCCCGCTGGTGAGCACCTTGTTAGTGCCATTTCCCACACCTCCCCTCTTGCCCAGGGTGTGAGGCCAGCATGCAGAGCCGGTGGGTTCCCACAGCACAGCCCTCTGATCCACAGATTAAATTCTGACTCTGGGAGGAACAGATGCTGATTGCTTCGTTTAGGGCCAAACATCGAAGTCAAAGTGTCATCTTTTTATTTTTATGTATTCATTTATTTTTTATTTTATTTATTTGTTTAGAGACAGAGCTTCACTCTGTCGCCCAGGTTGGAGTAAAGTGGCGCAATCTCAGCTCCCTGCAACCTCTGCCTCCTGGGTTCAAGCGATTCTCCTGCCTCAGCCTCCCAAGTAGCTGGGATTATAGGCGCCCACCACCAGGCCCAGCTAATTTTTGTATTTTTAGTAGAGATGGGGTTTCACCATGTTGACTAGGCTGGTCTTGAACTCCTGACCTGAGGTGATCCACCCGCCACGGCCTCCTAAAGTGCTGGGATTACAGGTGTGAGCCACTGGCCCGGCCATTGATTGATTGAGACAGAGTCTCACTTTGTAGCCCAGGCTGGAGTGCAATGGCGCAATCTCAGCTCACCGCAACCTCCACCTCCCAAGTTTAATCAATTATCCTGCCCCAGCCTCCCGAGTAGCTGGGATTACAGGCACACACCACCACACCCGGCTAATTTTTGTGTTTTTAGTAGAGATGGGGTTTCACCATGTTTGCCAGGCTGGTCTTGAACTCCTGGCCTCAGGCGATCCGCCCACCTCGGCCTCCCAAAGTGCTGGGATTACAGGAGCCACCACGCCTGGCCAAAGTGTCCTCTTTTTAAAATCAAAAAAGATACCAAACAAGCCTTGGCTGTAGGAGTCCTTGAACCTGAAGCACAAACAGATCCAGCAAATCCATGGTGTCAGTCAGGGTAGCAGTGACCCTCGGGGCCAGCGGAGGCTGGAGGAAGCAAGCAGGGGTTCCGAGGACTTGGGAATGTTTCATTTCTTCATCTGGGAGCTGGATGCATTCAGTCTGTAGACATTTCATCAAGCTGTGATGTGTGTACTTCTCTACCTATATGTCATAGTTCAGTTTTTAAAAAAGTCTTCAACAGTGAGAGGCTGGGCACCGTGGGATTACATCTGTAATCCCAGCACTTTGGGAGGCCGAGGTGGGCGGATCACCTGAGGTCAGGAGTTCAAGACCAGCCTGGCCAACATGGTGAAACCCCGTCTCTACTAAAAATACAAAAATTAGCCAGGTGGTAGTGGTGTGCGCCTATAATCCCAGCTACTCAGGAGGCTGAGGCAGGAGAATCACTTGAACCCGGGAGGCAGAGGTGGCAGTGAGCTGAGATCACGCCACTGCACTCCAGCCTGGGTGACAGAATGAGACCCTGTCTCAAAAAAAAAGAAAAGAAAAGAAAAGTCTTTAACAATGAGAGTCAAACCATTGGTGTGAGATGGCATTGATGGGCACCAACCTACCTTTTCAGGCTCCTGCCTCACTGGCCCTTCCCCACCCAACTCTCACCACTCCCCTCTACTACCCGTGATGCTGGAAGCCTCTGGTTAGAACATGGGAGTTGAGTGGTCTAGGAGCCAGGCCTGTGAGCCTTGGGTAAGGCACTTCACCCCAATATAGCACCGTCTCCTTATTCGTAGCTGTACAGTGAATAATGTTTACTTGACAGCCTTGTGAAGATTAAAAGCACAAACAAGTATAAAATGTCTAGGATTGACTGGGCACGGTGGCTCATGCCTGTAATCCCAGCACTTCGGGAGGCCGAGGCAGGCAGATCACCTGAGGTTGGGAGCTCAAGACCAGCCTGGCCAACATGATGAAACCCAGTCTCTACTAAAAATACAAAAATTAGCCAAGCGTGGTGGCAAGTACCTGTAATCCCAGCTACTTAGGAGGCTGAGGCAGGAAAATCACTTGAACCCGGGAGGCAGAGGTTGCAGCGAGCCGAAATCATGCCATTGCACTCCAGCCTGGGTGACATGAGCAAAACTCCATCTAAAAAAATAAAAAATGTCTAGGATTGTCCCTGGCACATAGAAAGCACTCAGTGAAAGGTAGCGATTATCACTTCATTCTGTCTTGTATCGGTCAATCGACTGATTTTCTCCCTGCCTAGTTCCAGAAGGGATTTAGTGGCCACTTAACAAATATGCAAGCAACGTTGCAAGGAATATCTGTTAAAAATAAGAAAAAGTGAGTGGCAGGAAAATAAAAGAGCCAGGAGTGGCACATGTTATGAAGATGTACCTTGTGAGACGTGGACGTAAGTTGGACTCCAGGCTTTGCTGCAGCCGCTATACCATTTCAGTTGTCCTGCCAAAGCCCCTGATTTCTGATGCTAAGAACAAGAAGGCAGTGCTTCAAGGGTCCTCATTAAGAAGCCACTGAAGGATGTGGTAGAGCGCCTGTAGTCCCAGCTACTCAGGAGGCTGAGGCGGGAGGATCGCTTGAGCCCAGGAGTTGGAGTGATCAGTGAGCTATAGTTGCACCACTGCACTACAGCCTGAGCTACAGAGCAAGACCTGCCTCTCGGAAGGCCGGGCATGGTGGCTCACGCCTGTAATCCCACCACTTTGGGAGGCCGAAGCGGGTGGATCACCTGAGGTCAGAAGATCGAGACCAGCCTGGCCAACATGGCGAAACCCCATCTCTACGAAAAATACAAAAAATTAGCTGGGTATGGTTGTGGGCACCTGTAATCCCAACTACTCAGGAGGCTGAGGCAGGAGAATCACTTGAACCCTGGGGGCGGAGATTGCAGTGAGCCAAGATCATGCCACTGCATTCCAGACTGGCAACAGAGTGAGATTCCATCTCAAAACATATATAATAATAGGAAACCACTGCAGTCTAATGAGCCAGATCCTCACGGTACCTGCAATATGGGTGGAGTATTATCCAGGGAGCACAGAAGCTGGGGACCAGGGGAGACAGCTGGGTTCAGTAAGGATATCATCCTGCTCCCCATCACTGCAGCAGGATTTAAGAGTCTCAGGAAGCACTGGGTGCGGTGGCTCACACCTGTAATCCCAGCACTTTGGGAGGCCAAGGTGGGTGGATCACTTGAGGCTGGGAGTTTGAGACCAGGCTGACCAACATGGTGAAACCCCGTCTCTACTAAAAATACAAAAATTAGCCAGACGTGGTGGCACACGCCTATAATTCCAGCTACTCGGGAGGCTGAGGCGGGAGAATCGCTTGAACCCAGGAGGAGGAGTTTGCAGTGAGCTGAGATCGCGCCATTGCACTCCAGCCTGGGCAACAAGAGCAAAACTCCATCTCGGGGGAAAAATAAAGTCTCAGCAGGCATGCTTGGGAGATCAGATGTTGTAGGCAGGCCTCCGGGTACTTTCCTTGAAGCAGAGCATTTGCCAAATATTGCAGAGCAGCAAGGGTGAAAATGCCCTCTTTGCCAAGTGCCTCATGTATGTGCCTCCTCTGCTTTGTCACTTGGCAGCCAGGCTGGCACAGGGCACACATGGTTTTGTGGACAAGGAGGAGCCCAGTGATGATGGAAGTGGAAGTGATGGTATTGTAGTATAGCAGTGGCCCCGTTTGCCATGCACCAGGCTCTGTGCTGTCAGCTTTCTGAACATCCTGTCATTCATGGCAGCCCTGAAGGGTAGACACTTTTGTTAACTCGTTTTACAGATGAGCAAACTGAGATCAGAGCTTGAATAACTTGCCCAAGGTGACATGTCCAGTAAGAGGACGAGAGCCATCCCTCCTTCCCTCAGAGATAAGCCAGGGGAGGGCATGAGGACAAGTCCATAGCTCTGCTCAGAAAGTCTCACCCAGGCCAGGTATGGTGGCTCATGCCTGTAATCCCAGCACTTTGGGAGGCCGAGGTGGGCGGATCACCTGAGGTCAGGAGTTCGAGACCAGCCTGGCCAACATAGTGAAAGTCCATCTCTACTAAAAATTCAAAAATTAGCTGGGCATGGTGGCGCACACCTGTAATCCCAGGTACTCGGGACTCAGGAGCCTAAGGCAGGAGAACCGCTTGAACTCGGGAGGCAGAGGTTGCAGTGAGCCGAGATCACTCCACTACACTCCAGCCTGGGTGACAGAGCGAGACTCCGTCTCAAAAAAAAAAAAAAAAAGGAAAGTCTCACTCAGGCCAGGCGCGGTGGCTCACATCTATAATCCCAGCACTTTGGGAGGCTGAGGCGGGTAGATTGCTTGAGCTCAGGAGTTCGAGACCAGCCTGGGCAGCATGGCGAACAGGAGGTTCAAGTTGGCTGGTGGGCGCAGCGTCTCTCCTTTTGCTTAGTAAGCTCTTGGAAGGTGAGGCTGCGGGTGGTGCGTCCCTCCGTTCCCTAGCGTGTTGCATAGAGCTAGATGCCAGCGGGGTCCTCGGTAACTGTACGTGGCATCGGATTGAACCTCAGTCTTCCTAACAGGTTGTGGTGCCTCCTGGAGTGACAAACTCCTCTTTTCAAGTGACATCTCAAAATGTTGGACAACTTACTGTTTATCTACATGGAAATCACTCCAATCAGACCGGGTAGGCTGGCCTCAGGGTGTGCGGGCCTCACGTGACAAGAAGGGGGCCGTGCTGGGCACGTGGGAGTCTCCTTCAGAAGCCCAGCCTCAGCTCATCCCGGTCCCCAAACTCCTTTCCAGCCCGAGGATACGCTTTCTTGTGATCCGCAGCAGCGCCATTAGCATCATAAACCAGGTGATTGGCTGGATCTACTTTGTGGCCTGGTCCATCTCCTTCTACCCTCAGGTGATCATGAATTGGAGGCGGAAAAGGTAACCCCCTGGGCCGTATGTGCAGGCTCTCTCGGGGCCCCTAGGAGCAGGGCGTTCCAGCAAGGCTGCCGATAGCGCAGCCTCCAACGTCCCCTCTACCCTTCTGTCTGCCTACCCTTTCCAGAAAGTTGTCCCAGTGCGAAGGCTCGGAGAGCCTGGGTCGGATTCCCGTGCTGGGCGTTTCATCCCTTGCCCAGCTCAGCCCCTCCCTGGGAAAGCAGGAAAACAGGGAAAAGGGGCTCCTTAGTTTAGTGGAGAATGGGCGGGGGAGGGAGGGCAGTCCATCGTGAATCTCCTCTGCGCTGGGTCCATCCGACCCTGGAGGATTGCGGCGTCAAGTCCTGTAGTCTCGGTCTTTGGGACGAAGCTGTCCCACCTTGACTTGCAAAGACACAAGCTGTCCTGCAGTCACCCTGGCCACGTCGGCCTCCTGGGTGATGGCAAGCAGAGAGCCGGGAGGGAGACGCTTTCTTCCGGGGGCCTCCTGACTCCCCTCTGGAGCCAGGACTTGAGGGGCAGGGAGATCTTGGGCAGGGGAGGAAGGGAGGAGGGAAGTAGCTCTTCAAGAGGGCAGGGATTAGGTGGCATCCGTGGTGGTAGCAGGAGGGACCTAAGGACAGTACCCTGCTTGAGAAGGGCCGAGTCCTCCTTCCCCGTGGCCTGGGAGCCCTGTCCCTCCCATTCCCCACAGTGGTGCCAGTCCTCACCCCTGGCCCTGCCATGCCCTTCCACCCCCGCCAGCCCTCACCCCCTGCCCTGCCCCTCCACCCCTCGCCAGTCCTCGCCCCTGGCCCTGCCATGCCCTTCCACCCCCGCCAGCCCTCACCCCCTGCCATGCCCCTCCACCCCCGCCAGTCCTTACCCACTGCCCTGCCCCTCCACCCCCCACCAGTCCTCACCCCCTGGGGTCCTCACCCCTGCCCTGCCCCTCCACCCCTGCCAGTCCTCACCCCCTGCCCTGCCCCACCACCCCTCGCCAGTCCTTACCCCCCACCCTGCCCTGCCCCTCCACCCCCGCCAGTCCTCACCCTCTGCCCTGCCCCTCCACCCCCGCCAGTCCTCACCCTCTGCCCTGTCCCTCCACCCCTGCCAGTCTTCACCCCCTGCCCTGTCTTGTCCCTCCACCCCCTGCAGTGTCATTGGTCTGAGCTTCGACTTCGTGGCTCTGAACCTGACGGGCTTCGTGGCCTACAGTGTATTCAACATCGGCCTCCTCTGGGTGCCCTACATCAAGGTACGGCCTTGCCTGCCCTACATCTCTGCCCACATGGCGTGGTGGCCCGGCTGCCCCTCACCACCCAGCTTCTCCCACCCACCAAACAGGAGCAGTTTCTCCTCAAATACCCCAACGGAGTGAACCCCGTGAACAGCAACGACGTCTTCTTCAGCCTGCACGCGGTTGTCCTCACGCTGATCATCATCGTGCAGTGCTGCCTGTATGAGGTGAGACCAGCCCTGGCCCCCCACAGGCCACCCCAGCCAACACCCGCCACCCCACCTCACCTTTGACAGAAGACACGGCAGAGCCTGGGAAAGGAAGGGTGTGTGTTCATTCATCCAGGTCCTGTGCTGGGCATAGAAGACACCCATGAGTCCAGGCCCTCAGAGCCCCCCAAGTCTGGGGTGAGGGACTCAGGGAGAGGCAGTGCCTGGACTCAGGCTGAGAGCCGTGCACAGAGGAGCACAGACAGCTCATGGAGGAGTGCAAGGCCCTGAGCCCTGCCAGGGAGGAGGGAGGAGGGCACAGAAGGGAGGAGGGAGGAGGGCACAGAAGGGAGGAGGGCAGAGGAAGACGCTTGGTTGGGCTCCAAGGATGAGTGAAGTTCCTATGGAGGAGGGGAGGGGCCAGGGTGGGCTCCTGGAGGGGTCAGGTCACAGAGGCCAAGGGGCATTTGAGAGGGACCCTGAGCAGGCGGGTGCAGCTGGGCTTCAGGGTGCCAGGAGGGGGCCCGCGTGCAGGCGGAGACACCTGTATTCAGCTTTGTTGCTGGAAGCCATGGGTGTCGGCAGGGCAGGGCCCCACCAAGGCTGGGTCCGGGGACCCCTGATATGACAGCTTTGCTTTCCCTTCTCTCAGGGAGTTCCCTTCACACTGTAAGGCCAGCTGGGGGCTGTCTGGCCCCACCCGTATGAACCTTCTAGGCTTTCTTAGCTTTTGGTGTGAAGCGAGAGTGAAGGTGGCCCACATTGGGCCCGTGTTCAGGGAAAGGCAAGGCGAGGGGACAGATTCCTGAGATCCTCAGGCTGCTGCCGGGTCGTGGGACGAGTCAGTACCTGGCTGGGAGAGGCACCAGGCCACCAGAGTTCCGACCCCACGTCTCCAAGTGAGTGCTGAGAGGCGCCCAGTTCTGCCAAGTAGGAACAAAGCAGACAGAGCTTGAGAGTCCAAGCAGCCTGAACAGGAGGCCCTGGCGATGAGAAGGTGTGGTTGGTGCTGGGGATGTCCAGCACCAGCCCAGGTGTGATGCTTTCTGTGGTCCACATGTTCCCCTGCCACAACCCCAGTGCAGCCCCCACCTTGCAGGGGCTCCTTCAAGGCCAGGGTCCAGCCTCCGTGCCCCTCTCTAAGCCCGCCCTATCCGGGGCCGTCCTTGCTCAGCCCCGGCGTGGCCTCTGTGTGGGTCCACATCTCTGCCCTCCTCTCGCCCCCAGCGCGGTGGCCAGCGCGTGTCCTGGCCTGCCATCGGCTTCCTGGTGCTCGCGTGGCTCTTCGCATTTGTCACCATGATCGTGGCTGCAGTGGGAGTGACCACGTGGCTGCAGTTTCTCTTCTGCTTCTCCTACATCAAGCTCGCAGTCACGCTGGTCAAGTATTTTCCACAGGTACCTCCAGGGCCCTGTTCACATGGCCGGTGGCAGGAGAGGTGAGAGCTACATGGCCCAGGCCCTGCTCCGGTGGGGCAGCTCCTGCCGGCGTGAGGAAACAGGACGGAAAGCCACAGGGAGCCCGGGAGCCCAGCGGGAGCGGGGCGGTGGGGAGGCCAGCCTGCCGCTCTTCCCCCGGGGCTGGAATCACAGGAGATCGCTAGCGGAGGCCCCTTGGACCCCACGCTCCCCTAAGCATCAGGTGTGCGGGTGGTTCCCCTTCTCCACACCCCAGCCTTTCCTGATGCCTTTGGCTCTGCCCTCACCACTGCCTCCATTTCCACAGCAGGACACTCTGGAGAGGTGAGGTGGGAGGAGGGAGCCCCTTCCCGCGCAGAGCTCAGCCCGTCCTATGAGCATAGCCGGTCCTCTTCAGATCCGGGGACTCAGGGTCCAGCACATCTTGCCCCACAGCCTGGGACAGGGTCAGGGCTGAAGTTGCTGCACCCGGGGACCTAGGGCCTCATTTAACTCACCCCATTCCCAAAGGGAGAAGCCTTGTTCCAGTGCCCCCAGCCCTGGGAGCCTCGTGTTCTGTGAGCTCAGGAGGGCCAGCGTTCTGACTGGGAGGCAGGACTGGACTCTTAGGCTGAGCAGGACTAAGTTCTGTGGCCAAGGAGCCCGGGCGTTCCGGGCCAGGCCAGCCTGCACAGAGGCTGGGGCGGGACACGGGGCGGCAGTGAGGGGATGTGGCTGGTTGAACAGTGTTGAGCATGTTGAAGCTGGGAAGCTGGGGTCAGGTCCCGGGAGCTGGGGGGGGCTTCCGAGGAGGGGAAGGTTTGGGGAAGTGGGCCCCAGTCCCTGAGGGTGGGAGGGATTGGGGCCAAGAAACCGGGGATGGAGGAGCCCAGGTTGGAGACGTTTGGAACTGCTGGAGGGGCAGCAGCAAGTACGGAAGAGGGTGAGCCGGGACACAGACAGGGACTGACTAGAGGCTCACTGGGAGGCCACCAGAGAGGCCAGGACCTGCCTCACGGGGGGAAGGAAAGGTCACAGCAGTCAGAGGACCCACAGGGCTCTGCAGCATGGGAGGACGTGGGGCACAGGCAGTCAGACTGGGGCGCATCCCCGCAGACCCGCCCCCCCAACCAGACCCAGGAAGCCCCGGCCAGGCCTGTGGGGGGCGTTAACCCCGCTCTACAGACGGGGAAACCAAGGCTAGGAGAACTGTCACTTGCCCAAGACAGCAGGCTCCGGTGATGGAGCCAGGATTCCAAACCAGAAGTCCCACTCCCACCAGTCCCTAAGCACATGAAGTCCAGGCTGAGTTTGGGGACAGCCTTGCCTGGAGGTGAGAAGAAGAATCATAGCTACAGGGAAACTAGCACAGGGCCTTGGCCCCAGGGATGTGGAGGAGACGGGGAAGGCCGCATCGGCCCCGCCTCTGCTGGAGCTGTGAGGTGTGGGGGGTGCGGGGCCTTTGCTTGCTGTACATGCAGATGAGACGCCTACCCCCAGGACCACCCAAACTGTTCCTTGGCTGAGGCCTGTCATAGCCCAAAGGTCACCGTGTCCTTGGAGCCAAGGCCCCAGTGGGAGGAATGAGAACCGCTTTTGTTTGGAGGGGCAGTCACGAGGCGCATGAGGCAGCCGCCCAGCCCTCACCGCCCTCCGTCTGTCTGTCCGTCTGTCTGGCCCAGGCCTACATGAACTTTTACTACAAAAGCACTGAGGGCTGGAGCATTGGCAACGTGCTCCTGGACTTCACCGGGGGCAGCTTCAGCCTCCTGCAGATGTTCCTCCAGTCCTACAACAACGGTGAGTCAGCCAGCGGGCTGCTGGCCACCCTGCGGCTGGGGCATCGGGCGGGGCCAGCCTTCCCGGGACCTTCCAGCCAGGGCTCCACCCCCACCTGGGATCCAAGCCAATCCAGCCCCCAAGGAGAGACCCACCTAGGGGCCTTCGTAGCTGGAGGCTTTGTGGTTTTCTGGGACCCCCACCGCCCACCACCCCACAAGCTCCAGCTGCCTCAGGAGCTGCCAACCTAACACCAGCTTCTGTCCCCCGGCTGCTAACAGACCAGTGGACGCTGATCTTCGGAGACCCAACCAAGTTTGGACTCGGGGTCTTCTCCATCGTCTTCGACGTCGTCTTCTTCATCCAGCACTTCTGTTTGTACAGAAAGAGACCGGGGTATGACCAGCTGAACTAGCACCCAGGGACCCAGTGTACCCAGCCTCTGGCCTCGTGCCCTGCTGGGGAAGGCCTCACCCAGCGAAGGCCGGAGAAGCGGTTGGGCCCTGGCACACAGGGCTGGCTCAGTGTGCGGACAGAGGAGACCACTCTGCTCCTGGGGCCAGAGGCCATTCAATAGCCTGCCTTCGTCCGGGCCCCTCCTGGGCCTCCCCGGCCAGGCACGTGGCACCGTCGCCTTGACACCGCCATCTCTTTTCTTTAAGGCTTCAGGCAGCGCGCACAGGCTCTGGCAGCCGTCTCAGGCAGGACTGGGCACCAAGCTTGCAGCCGAAGGCCTTGCCCCAAACTACCAGCGTTTCTGCAAGCAGCTTGAAGGGCTGACCTTGCAGCCGGGTGAGCCAAGGGCACTTTGCTGCCACCGCTGCATTCCCAGAGATCAAGCAGCCCGGTGCCGTGGCCAGTGAACTCAGAGGTGCTGGTGGACGGGCTAGGACTTTGGGGTTAGGCCATGGGGCTCTTTCTCTGAAGGCCACTTTCCTGACGTACTCTCTGTACATAACTCAGCGTCCGTGACTGCAGTAACAGCCAGCCCTACCCAGAGTATTTCTGAGCCATGAGGGGCCCACCAGATTGGTTCTGAATTGGATTCATGCCCAGCGCATTAGCATAGTAACTCCTTTCAGATTTTTTGGAGGGACGTTTGGAAGTGGCTTACTCTCTTCTGCCCTCTCTCCTACCTCCACCTTCTCAGATTAGCCCCATCTGAGCACATCCAGCTGCTCCTTACCCAGCATCTGGAGTACAGGACATAGCTCTCTCCTGCTACCAGTCTGTGCCTTAGAGGTCTGTTAGGCCTGCCAAACGGCGACCAGCTCCCCTGGAGCGAGGGCAGGCCCCTTCCCTCTCTTTCCCCAGACACCTACTTGAGACTCACCAATTTCTGGCCTGTTCAGGAGCCTCAGATAAGTATTTGTACTTGAGACCACCTCACACAATCTGTATGGGCCCAACCCTGATCTCAAACCTCCTTCCCTCTGCCCAAAGCTGTCCTTCCTATGGCAGGAGGGGTGGGGGTCCCAGGACGTGCCTCATACATGACTTGAGCTTGTCAGTCCACTGAGTTTCCTTCTACGAGATCAACGCGAGGGGCCTGTATCTTGAATTAAAACCTACTCGCTTCCTTTCTGCACTCTGTGTGCTCGATACAGAAGGCAGGTGTGCTGGCCTTCAGAGCCAGGTGCCCTGCTCCCCTCGTGTAAGGAAGCGCATAAGGTTGTGAAGGTCACTGACCCGAGAGCGCTGCGTGCTGACCCCACACTTCACTGGGGAGCCCTCTTGGGTAGCGCGAGACGCCTACCCGCCCAGGGCCAGGTCAGTCTCCCAGGCTCCGTGTCTTCACGGTTACCAGGGCACGCCACTCAATCTGGATGTGAGCCGGGGTGGATGAGGTTCTGAAGGGCACACCAGCACTGGGAGCGGGGGCAGTGGGGGTCTTATTCTCCAGACGCTTCCTCTATCTAGTTGTAACAAACGTCAAAGAATGTCAGGTCTTGTTTCTGCAGAGCAGACTTTGGCCTGACGGGGTCCACAGACCTGTTTCACTTGCAACACCCAGTAAATGTGTTACTGGGTGCCCTACTTTAAAAATCAGAGATTTCAAATGATTGACTTTTCCGGCTGAGTGCGGTGGCTCACGCCTGTAATCCCAGCACTTTGGGAGGCCAAGGCAGATGGATCACCTGACATCAGGAGTTCGAGACCAGCCTAGCCAACATTGCAAAACCCCATCTCTACTAAAGATACAAAAATTAGCTGGGCATGGTGGCGGGCACCTGTAATCCCAGCTACTTGGTTGGCTGAGGCAGGAGAATTACTTGAACCCAGGAGGCGGAGGTTGCAGTGAGCGAAGATCACGCCATTGCACTCCAGCCTGGGCAACAAGAACGAAACTCCATCTCAAAAAAAAAAAAAAATTATTGACTTTTCTTTAAAATCTGATTTGGCAGTGCTAGGTAGGTCCAGGAGTGCTAACACCTTCCCAGAGGTGGTACGCAGGTAGTCAGGTGCTCTCTGACTCACCCCCATCTGGCCAGATCACGGCCCCCAGCAACACGTGGGGTTGTGTCCCTCGCTGGGATACACGGAGTGCCCTTATAGGCAGGGAGTCTTATAGGCAGGGGTCTCTCCCAGGCACCTCTGGGTGTCCCTACGGCCCCTCCCAGGTGGGAGCTGAGGCTAGGTTGCAAAAAGGAGGTTGGGAGCAAGTAGGGGCTTCACAGTAACACCCAAGAAAGCACACGCACCCCAGGGTCCCACCCCAGTGCTCCCAGACACTCCCACAGATGTGGTTCTGGTCAGGCGCAGTGCAGCTGCTGCGGCTCCACCAGCCCCGGGCTTTCAGGCAGGTGGGCCTGGGAGTAGTTGAGCTTTGTCCCAGAACAGTGGGGGATGGGGCCATCATTAAAACCACAGCTCTGGCCCCAATATCCCACCGCCACCCCCACCCCGATATCCCAGCCCATGCCTCAGCAAAGCCCCCTGTGAATTCCAGCATTTTTATTGAGCGCACCACATCGGGGAGGGGCGGCAGTGGTTTCCACGGTAACCAAAGTAAGGCTTGTGCACTTGCTGAGCTTCCAGATGCGAATTAGTAAAAGCTAAATTCAAAAGTAGAATGGGCATCTCCAAAGAGTACGATAAAAACATTTTGTATCAAACTTGTGATTAAAAAAATACAAAAGTTAAACCCACAGGCAAAGAGGAAAATGACAATCCTGAGAGCTGCCCTGATAGGTGAGCCTCGAACCTCGTCTAAATCCGTAAGAAGGCAAACCCTGGGGAGGCCAGCACCCCTCGGGAGAGTGGGAGTGAACGCGGAGCCCACCTGGCTTCATCTGGGCAAAGCTTCGTAGCGCCTCTGGCAGGATGTGTGTCCAGTCCCCCGAGGGGCAGAGGCACTGCGGTGTGGACACACGAGGGCTGGGGGGCAGGGGCGGAGCCGAACCCTGCAGCCAGGCAAAAGCGGGAAAGGCCTGGTTCCTCCAGCATTTCCCAGCTTTTGGGGGCTCCCAAGAGATAGTGGTTCCCACTTGCCCAGCCACTGCTGTGGCCAAGCAGCAGGGTCGGACCTGAGCCTGTGGTCACAGCAGACTGGCTACTACTCAGCTCCAGGCCCTTATTTCCAATCCTCGGTGTCCAGGAGAGAAAGCCGGTCCCAGAGGCCCCAGGCCAGGGATGGGAGAAGGGAAGGAAGGCCAGGCCAGGCCTCTGGGACCAGCTATAGCCCTTCTGAGCTGGGGCCCAGCGGTCAGCAGAAGCCAGATGGGGACAGAGTGTGGAAGTGGCGTTACTGTACAGAGAGGCGGCAGGCAGGAGTCGCAGATGGTGGTGGCTGCTAGGACAGCATGGACTGCTGCACGGCCTTCTGCAGCGACTGCCGCGTCACCAGCAGACGCACCACCTCCTCCGAGCGCTTGGTGAGCCGCTTGCGGGCCTGGTCGTGTGTGACCATGGTCATGTCCCAGCCGTTCACCTGGCCCCAGGAGAGAACACAGGCTCACCTCAGCTCCCCGCCCTCTGGGATCTGGAAGCAGAGGGCTTTGGGGGCCCAGGTCATTCAAGTAGGCCCCCAGCCTAACATCCCAGGGCTGGGAGACACCAAGCACTGTGGCTGAGACACACAGGAGAGAAAGCCAGCGTCCTCTGGGGCAATGCCAGTATGGGTTCCCAATTGGCTGCAGTGAGTCTCTCCCAGCTGGGAGGCTGGGGCAGCTCCCCACCCCCAAGTGCTTCAGACCTGCTTGCCCAAACCTTGTTTCTCCTCCTTTGGGACACCTGTTACCTGCATGATCTTGTCTCCAATCTGCAGCCCAGCGATTTCAGCAGGGCCTCCTTCAGACACCCGTGTGACATAAATACCCTGGAAAGGGGCAGCCCAAGTCAAGCCCTGTGGTCACTGGACTGGCCCCTTATCACACAGCGGAAGCCAGCATGGCACATTCTCAGCCGTCCCTCTGTCCCTGCACCCAGCCTCTCCCAGCACATATGGTCAGTGAGGACTGTTCTGAGAGAGCCGGGGCAGAGTTGCTGCACCACCATGCACCGGCCCTGCTGATGGCCGCCTCCTGCTCCTCCTGGGCTCTGTCTGAGCAGCCCTTCCTCACCCCACCCGTCCTTATTCTCACTAGGTCACTTCCGATGCCTTCTTAGAGAGCATGGTTTGAGAGATGAAGTCTGTTCCTTCCATGCAGGCCCAGGAAGCAGAGACCCACCATCTCAGGCCCCTGTGCCCCATGGAGCGGTCCCAGGACCCCAGACCCCCTCACCTTGTCCGTCTTGTCTTCAGAGAAGGGATTCTGGGAAGGATCCTGGTCGATTCCACCTCCAATGCTGAAACCCAGGATTAAGTTCTCACCTTGACGCAGCTTGTGAATTTCAACTCTTTGCTGGCAAAGAAAAAAGCCAGTTGAGAGAAGTGGGTGGTTGGAGAATTAGGCTGGTGGGTGTTCCCAGCAGCAGCCTCAGAGCCATGACAAGGGGCTGGGTCCCAGGCCCCTGCAGGAATCCAGCTGCTCACCAGCCTGGGAGGCTGAGGAGCTGGCACTCAGAACTTGGCCACATTGATCCACCCACACAGCCCTGTGTCCTCAACCTGTCCCCACTTCCCCTGTTAGTCTTAGGCACTAGTCTTGGTCAACATGTGGTGGAAGCCCCTGCTGGCCCAAGAGTCCAGGTGCTGTGGCTTCTGTAGGTGGGAAGCCCGTCTCACAGGAGGTGCTCTGGAAAAGCAGAGATCAAACTTGCATAGAAAGGAGAGGAAGGGGTTTCCTTTCGGCCGGAACCGCCATCTTCCAGTAATTCGCCAAAATGACGAACACAAAGGGAAAGAGGAGAGGCACCGGATATATGTTCTCTAGGCCTTTTAGAAAACATGGAGATGTTCCTTTGGCCACATATATGCGAATCTATAAGAAAGGTGATACTGTAGACATCAAGGGAATGGGTACTGTTCAAAAAGGAATGCCCCACAAGGGTTACCATGGCAAAACTGGAAGAGTCTACAATGTTCCCCAGCATGCTGTTGGCATTGTTGTAAACAAACAAGTTAAGGGCAAGATTCTTGCCAAGAGAATTAATGTGCGTATTGAGCACATAAAGCACTCTAAGAGCCGAGATAGCTTCCTGGAACGCGTGAAGGAAAATGATCAGAAAAAGAAAGAAGCCAAAGAGAAAGGTACCTGGGTTCAACTAAAGCACCAGCCTGCTCCACCCAGGGAAGCACACTTTGTGAGAACCAACGGGAAGGCGCCTGAGCTGCTGGAACCTATTCCCTATGAATTCATGGCATAATAGGTGTTAAACAAAAAAAAATAAAGGATCTCTGGGCTCCAAAAAAAAAAAAAAAAAAAAAAAGAAAGGAGAGGAAGGGCTTGCCGGCCACGGGGACCAGCGCACAGGGTGCCGTGGATACGTGTTCGTGAGACTGGAGTGTCCAGTGCAGGACACAGAACTGGGAGGCGAGATGAGGCTGAAAGTGTAAGGCTGGGGCCAGATCCCGTCCTGGAAGGGGAGCAGGGGTGTCTCCCTAAGCCCCAGACCCTGCTCTTGTGCAGAAACGAGTGTTCTGGGGCATTCCCACCATGCTCTGGGGTGTTCCCACCATGCTCTGGGGCTATGGTCCCCAACTGTGCCAGGTTCTTTTCAAAGCCCTTGGCAAGCGCCGTCCAGTCAGCAGATGCTGGGAGCCAGACCAGATCACTCCCAAAGTCAAGTTTTAACAGGAAGGAGAAAAGAAAAAAGCAGAAGACCACAATCTAGACTAGACCTAAAGAAGTTTCCCAAAGGGAGGATTATTTGCACCAGGCTTTGAGGGGGTGATGGGTAGCCTGACCTTGATCCTGAACCCACTGGAGTTCTCAGGAACGGAGTAGGGTAGGGCATGGTCAGGTTTGCTGCTAGAATGACCACTCAGGTAATCAGTAGAGGAACGGACATCTCACAAAAGCAAGGTGCAGAGGCCGGGGGACATGGAGCTACCTGAAAATGGAGATCTACAGACTTAGGGACCACTCATGGAGGAGAGGAGTCAAGAGGAGCACCCAGCCACCGTGCCTGGCTGAACACACATTATTCAGATGGGGACCCAGGAGGAGGAGGAGCAGGTTAGGTTGGAGTGCCAGGAGCTGCGGGGCAGGTGTCCAGAAGGCAGATGGATCTATGGAGCCAGGGTTCAGAAGAATGGCCTAAATGTCTTTAATATTCTCAGGATTCTACATGGGAGAGGGTGGGGACTGGGGAGTGAGCCTGCCCAAACCCATCCCCAATCCAAGACTCGAGGGAGAGGCCAGACCATACACACCATGTCCAGGCACGTTCCTGGTGTTACCAGAATTAGGGGGCATGGGCCTGCAGTTTTGGGGAAGGCCCTGGGACCAGTTATGGCGTGAGGGAGGGGGGCAGGAAGCATGAGGCCTACTGTGCCTGGGTCCTCATGCCCCAAACTGAGCTCCTCCAGGCCTGCTCTGCCGGCACGGTCAGAAGATTACAGGCCCTTGGGTTGGGAGACAGGGCTGTCACTGATTTGCTGGGTGAGGTCACGCAGAAGGTGGCTTGCTGTAGCTCCTCACCTGTCCCTGCCCCCCTTCTACCTAAAGAGCAAACCTGGTGCCTTCTCTCTGGGGCAGGTAGGGATCTAAAAAAGCCAGGCTGGGCCGGGTGTGGTGCCTCACGCCTGTAATCCCAGCACTTTGGGAGGCTGAGGCAGGTGGATCACCAGAGGTCAGGAGTTCAAGACAAGCCTGGCCAACATGGTGAAACCCCGTTCTACTAAAAATACAAAAATTAGCTGGGCATGCTGGTGCATGCCTGTAATCCCAGCTACTCGGGAGGCTGAGGCAGGAGAATCGCTTGAACCCAGGAGGCGGAGGTTGCAATGAACCGAGATCGCGCCACTGTACTCCAGCCTGGGCGACAGAGCAAGACTGTCTCAAAAAAAAAAAAAAAAAAAAAGTCAAGCTGGTGCAGGGAGGGTGAAGCTTAGGACAGCTGTCAGCTGGTCCAGCAATGTTTCCTCCTGGCCCAGGCCTGAGCCAGTGCTCTAAGCTCAGCCTCACTTGTCGCCTTTATCAGTGGCTTCTCTGCCTCCACCCACCTGATTGCTGGAGCTTCTCCAGCACACCCAACTGAGATAACACACCCAGTCCCTATGGCTCCAGGGCGGGGACTTTCGCTTGACCTACTGCCCACCGGGCAGGCATTTCTTCTCATTCTCTGAACGCTGTCGGGAGGTAGGCAGGAGACCTGAGTCTTTCCTGAGGTGGTCTTTTCTGGCTGAGCACTTCTCTCTGGGACTCCCCACCTCTGTCATAGGGTTGTGTCCCTCTGTGACACCGGCGTCTGAGTCTAACGTCCCAGCCTTCCTTCCTCCCTCTGCCTAGTCTAATAGCACCCAGCACCTAAAACAAGCCAGAGGGCGGCCAGGGGCCTAGGCTAGCCCCCGGAGGGTCTACTCAGGACTCAAGTGCCAGGAGGGAGGCCTGGACTTTTTTGCCTTAAGGGCTGGAGACCCAGGAAAAGTTCGAAGAGGAAACGCTCATCGCAGCTATACGAGCGTCCACCCTGGACCAGGCGGCGAGTGGGTTGGAGGAGCAAGGCTGGACAGGAAGGGGGCAGGGGCTGCCACGGCAGGCTCGGGAGAGCCCCACCCCCAGATCTCCCTCCGGGCGGCGGCGCAGGCTGCAGCGGAGGAAGCATTTCCTCATTCCAGAGGCTGCGACTCATGGACGTCGGGATCGGCGCCCGCCCCCAGCAGCTCCCCGTCTGGGGACACGGAGGCCCGGGAAGGGGGCGCTTTTCCAGGCTCCTGCAGCCAGGCCTTTCCCCGTGGCCCTCCCCGCCCTGCGCACGCAGTCTGGGCTCTGTCCAGGGTCTCGGGAGGCTCTCGGGTCCCGGCCATCCCTGTTTCGTGGCTGGGGGAACTGCGGCCCGCTCCGGCAAAGCGGGGACCCGAGCCCTTGCCGCCGGTTCGCAGGAGCCCCGGGTTCGATGCTCTGTCAACCTGCTTGGGGTGTCCGTTTCCCGCTCTGCGAGGTGGGGTCAGGCCAAGACGAGGAGGAGCCCGCGCAAGCGCACTCACCACCACGGCGGTGACCGGCTGGCCCGGGATGTAGGACATCTCGACCCTGCTCTGGTCGCCCAGCGCCGCTCCGAGAAGCCGGCAGCAGAGTACCCGCGGTCGCGCCCTCGCTGCTTAACAAAGGCCGCCCCGCTCGGCCCGCCCCCTCATGAATAGTTAACAAACCTCCAGCCAATCACTGGCCGGAGCGCCACTCCGCTTTCGGAAGTCCCTGCGCGTGCGCAGAAAAGCGGGCAGAGGGCGGAGCGTGTCCGGGGCGCCCACGGCGCAGGCGCGGAGGGCGGGGCGGGATCTGGGCGCGTGCGCAGCCCGAGACCTCCCGGCAGTCTTCCGAGCAAGATGGCGCCGCGGGCATTTCTTCCACTGCCCGTCTGAGGGAACGCTAAGTAGTGTGTCCGGCGCCGTGTTCCAGGTAACTGGGCCACCGTGGCCGGGGAACGCAGACGCGCCACCACCTCCCGGCCGGCCCGGACCCTCAATCTCCTCGGCGTCTTTGGAAGATCCGAGGCCCAGGACTGGTGCCAGGTCTCGGAAGCTCCAGGGGGAGGGGGCGGCGTGAACCCAACTCACCGAGCTCCGGGCGCCACTTGTAACTTGGTTTTCTCCGCAGCTCCGCGTTGTTCCGCGAGAAAGCGAGAGGCCGAGCCCGGGCTGGTGCGATGGCCGCGGTGGTGGCCAAGCGGGAAGGGCCGCCGTTCATCAGCGAGGCGGCCGTGCGGGGCAACGCCGCCGTCCTGGATTATTGCCGGACCTCGGTGTCAGCGCTGTCGGGGGCCACGGCCGGCATCCTCGGCCTCACCGGCCTCTACGGCTTCATCTTCTACCTGCTCGCCTCCGTCCTGCTCTCCCTGCTCCTCATTCTCAAGGCGGGAAGGAGGTGGAACAAATATTTCAAATCACGGAGACCTCTCTTTACAGGAGGCCTCATCGGGGGCCTCTTCACCTACGTCCTGTTCTGGACGTTCCTCTACGGCATGGTGCACGTCTACTGAAATGGGGGCCCGGGGGACTTTTTTAAAAAACCAGATCGGGAGGACTGTGGCCAGCAATTAACACCATGTAGACTTCCTTAGTTCTTAAGTGGTTGAATTCGCTGCTTGTTCTGTAACGTTATAAATAATTTATATCTGAAGACGGAGAGCCTGTAATATTCTTCAGATTAAATGAAGCGTGAGACACTTTGTGGAGTTCTTTCCTGCTGTAACGCTTAGGCTGCCACTGATGCAAAATCGCCGAGATTTGACTCCTGGAGAGCAAGGAATGGGCCATAGCCTTGTGTTAAGTCCTTGTATTTACACATAGGCCATTCAGAAACGGGCCCTAAGGGCCTACATAAGGAAAGAACTTATTAACATCCTAAGAAGCAGTAACAGTTAATATGTATTAAGAGCTCCCTGGGCCGGGCACGGTGGCTCATGTCTGTAATCCCAGCACTTTGGGAGGCCGAGGTGGGCGGATCACCTGAGGTCAGGAGTTCAAGACCAACCTGGCCAACATGGCAAAACTCCGTCTCTACTAAAAATATAAATATTAGCCGGGTGTGGTGGCGCGCGCCTGCAATGCCAGGTACTCGGGAGGCTGAGGAAAGAGAATCGCTTGAACCCTGGAGGCAGAGGTTGCAGCGAGCCGAGATCGTGCCACTGCATTCCAGCCTGGGTGATGGAGCAAGACTCCGTCTGTCTCTCAGGGAAAAAAAAAAAAAAAAGAGTTCCCTATATGCTGGCATTGTGACTTCTACTCTACACCGATCCTCTCATTTAATTTTAGCAATAACCTTACAGGGTAGATGTTATTGTTAGCTCCCTCGTAAGGAACCTGAGGCTCAGAGAGGTTAAATACTTCTCCCAGAGGAGATACAGCTAGGAAGAGACAGAGCCAGGATTCAAATGCAGGTCTCTTAATTTGCTCTTGATATGTTTGCTGGGTGTACCTTTCACAGGCCAGCGTTCCCTCCCACTAACCACTACTTTCAGGTATATATGGTGTCATTTTAGTTCCATTTCATTTAGTGACAGTCCTTTCCATAAGAAAAAATAAAGTCAAGCTGTATTTTTTAGAATATGTCTAGGGAAGATTAAACATTGTTTGGACATTTAGGCTGGGCACAGTGGCTCACGCCTGTAATCCTAGCACTTTGGGAGTCCGACGGCAGGCAGATCACCTGAGGTCAGGAGTTTGAGACAAGCCTGGCCAACATGGCGAAACCCCATCTCTACTAAAAATAAGATGCAAAAATTAGCCAGGCGTGGTGGTGGGCACCTGTAATCCCAGCTACTTGGGTGGCTGAGGTAGGAGAATCGCTTGAACCCTGGAGGTGGAGGTTGCAGTGAGCCAAGATCATACCACTGCACTCCAGCCTGGGTGACAGCAAGATTCCATCTCAAAAAAAACACAAAAATTGTTTGGACATTGAAGTTGAACTTTGGGCAGGTTTAGGGTGTAAACACCTCCATGTGTTAATCCATGATCCTTTCTTGTCAGGAGGGTTATTTTAGAATAAAACGCATTTGTGGCCGAGCACGGTGGCTCATGCCTGTAATCCCAGCACTTTGGGAGGCCGAGGTGGGCAGATCACCTGAGGTCAGGAGTTCGAGACCAGCCTGACCAACATGGAGAAACCCCATCTCTACTAAAAATACAAAATTAGCCGGGTGTGGTGGCACAGGCCTGTAATCCCAGCTACTAGGAAGGCTGAGGCAGGAGAATCTCTTGAACCTGGGAGGCAGAGGTTGCGGTGAGCCGAGATCATGCCATTGCACTCCGGCCTGGGCAACAAGAGCGAAACTCCCTCTCAAAAAAAAAAGAATAAAATGCATTTGTTTAATTGAGGAATAAATATTGCATTAGAATGACGGTAATTGCCTGAGTGTAGTGGCTCCTGCTGTGATCTCAGCACTTTGGGAGGCCAAGGCTTGAGCCCAGGAGATCAAGACCAGCCTGGGCAACATAGTGAGATGCCCATCTCTACAAAAAAACATTTAATTAGCCAGATGTGGTGGCATGTGCCTGTAGTCCCAGCTACTCAGGAGGCTGAGGTGGGAGGATCAGGATCACCTGGGCCCGGGAGGTTGAGGCCACAGTAAGCCACGATTTTGCCACTACACTCCAACCTAGGCAACAGCGAGACCCTGTCTAAAAAAAAAAGAAATTACAGTAATGAAAATGATGGTGCTCATTGGATTTATGGTTAACTGGGGAAACCAGCATCACCTAACTTCAGAAATACTTAAATCATGGTGAGTACTATGAAGAGGACATAGCAGACCTAGCCCAAGTTGGGGTATATGGAGGTCAAGGAAGTCTTCTCTGAGGAAATAACATTACATCTGAAACCCAAAAGTTGAATAACATAGGCAAGTGTGGGGAAGGAGTTACCTTCAGGAAAGCGCATGTTTCCAGGCCATTGGGCAGGAAGGAATGTGACTGTATTTAGAGAGTGAGAGAAGAGGCCACAGGGTAGACCCAGACCAGATCATGGAGGGCAGTAATGGGTGTGGGGACATGCGCCTGTAGTCCAGCTACTCAGGAGGCTGGAATGGGAAGATCAAGATCACTTGAGCCCAGGAGGTTGAGGCTGCAGTGAGCTCCCATTTGCCCTGGCCTTGATCCTCAGAGCAAATGGGGGAAGCCTTTGGAAGTTTTTAGTCTGAAGTGACGTAATCACATTTGGATTTTTTTTAAAAAAAGAATCTGTTTTAGATTGGAAGGGGATCTGAGAGCTTGAATCCAAGTCCCCTTTTGACAGATCATAGATAGCCCATGGCCAGTCATGGAAATGGATCTGGGACCCAGACCTGTTAAATTCCGTTTCGGCTTCAGGAACACATGCACACGACGCCAAGGAGAAGCTGAGGCCATAGCGTTGCCCCCCATCTCAGTGAGCCCTTTCTCTGCCCCCACTGAAGATCCTCAGTGGTTTGCCCACCTCAGTCCTCTCAGAACCTCCTCTGAGTGGGAAGGAAAGGTTCATTCCTGGTGTAAGGGAGAAGCAGAGGGAGTCCTCAGCCTGGTGGGAGAGGAGAAAAAAGGAAGAGGGATAAGCGAGCTGATGTACTTAACCATTTCCCTATTGTTGGGCAGTAAGTTTGAAATGTTCACTACTATAAAAAATACTGCAATGAATGTCTGCGTTTATATTGTTTTGAGAAAATTAATAAGTTCCTACAGCAGAGGATAAAAATTTGGTTCCAAGTTACTTCCAGAGTTGTGTTAGATTACACTACTTGAATGAAAAGTACCAGTTTTATCAGTTCCTTCCTAGTCTATAATTTTAATAGTTGCTCATTTAAAGCATTTCCATAATTTGAATTTCTTTGCAAGATGAGGAATATATTGCTTACTAATTGTTTCTTGTGTCTGCCTCTTTTGATCTTGCCTTCTTACATTTTCCTTTAAAATACGGGTAAAAATGGGCCAGGTGCGGTGGCTGTTGCCTGTAATCC